>NC_000004.12:137406229-137709259 GCF_000001405.40 Homo sapiens
TAATATCTTCAATTTTATATTGATTTATAGTGTTCATTTCTCAAAAAAAACAATCTCAAATAATACAGAGAAACCTACTATTTGTGCATTAGTCCCATTTCACAGGTAACTAATCAGATCAATCAAGGCCTTGGAAAGATACAAATAGATATAGTATCATGGCTTTTCTTGGAAGAGGAGGATAAAATATAATATTTAGCTTCTAAAATATGAACAAACTCACACAGAAGCTTAGCTCCAATCCCAGACTGCACAAGTTCTGTCATATATTTGATTGACTCATGTTTGTAAGATTACAAGCATTTACCAAGGAAAAAAAAACCTTTGAAGTATTACAAATAGGTAGATCAGTAGGTCATCCTAAGCAATGTAGAAATCTCAGCTGCCATAAGCAAAATGAAAGGTATATGGCATTACACATAAATTGTTTAGTTGTATGGCAAAAGATACCAATAACAAGTATATAGAAAAATGTTACCTTGATAAATATTTGTGACACAAGTGGCAGGCATGGGATTAATATGCTCACTACACAAATAACAAATATAAACAAATTGAAAGATAAACAATCAATAACAGTGGTCAAAGTACATAGCATTTCACAGAAGGAGAGCCCAGATGGTTAATAATGTATAAAGAGAGGCTTAATCTTCATCATCAGAGTCAGAGAAATGCAAATTAAATAAATATTTGAAAAAGGAATAGGCGCTAGTGATAGGTAGAATTCACGTATTGATAGTTAGAGTAGAAATTTGGGAGATCTTCGGAAATATTCTGGGAATTGGCATTTAAAAAAATTACAATAGCTGCTAAAATTTAAGATACCATAATCTTTGACTTGGAAATTCTTTACTGTGAAATAGCCTTAAGGTAATAAAATATTCAGTCTATAAGAACTTATGTGCAGGAATTTTTAATGCAAGAGATTTATGTGCAAGGAATTTTATTATATTTGCATATAGCAGAAAATAAAACAATAATAAGGGTATTGTTTAATAATTATATCAAATAAGTACTATTGAAATATTAGAAGATATTTAAATTAATGAAGTAGATGTATAGTCATTTATTGAAAAACAGAGCCATTATAATTTTATACTAAGCAAATCATTATATAAATTATAAATACATATGTGTGTGTAACAGCTTAACAGCCTCTTTCATAGAAAGATAACCATAAACCTTCACAGATGTGTGCATGTTTTATGTATATTCATATGATAATTCATAAAAGTATAGAAAAATACATGTCAGTGCTGTTATTATTGGTTAATTCAGTAAGGTGGAAAAAGTTTAAATATATTTGCCTTACACTTTTGACTGATTTGTTAGCTTAAATAAGCATGTACTACTTTCATAATTTATATAGATAATACATTTCTAAAAGAAATATAAATTATTTTTATAGAATAAATGTAATGATGTCCCTCCATTTTCAGAAGAAAATATTTTATTACTTTCTGTCTTCTCTAACTGTAGCCTCGTTTCCAAACTTGCCCTTTTACAATCACTTTGATCATCAGTTGTTTATTTGTAAATTTCTGTGATCCATGGAATCTCAATTCGAATTCAAGGTTAAAACATCTCAAGTGTATAGTTTATGCCCTGCAGAGCCCTAAAATGGCTTAGGATATGTAGCCCTTTGGTGGATGAGACAAACACAAGAGCATTTTCTTTTAAAGGAACAAGATTTCGTCACCTCAGTAAAAAAAGGTTTTTTATTTCAAGTTTCTCTGCTTTCTCTGAATATTACAAAGCACTGCCACATAATCAAATAATCAAACAGTGCTTATTTACCGTCGTAATATACCAGTGCTCAACAAGCTAAGGTACAAAAGAAATTAAGCAGCCATTATCACTTTATCCCTGCTGCTTGGAAACTAATAAAAGCACATTAATAATAAACTGTAGTCAAATCTAAAGGGCTGTGTAACAAGCTAAAGCAATAGGAAAAGTAAACATTGTACAATTAAATACACACCTCCACAAAATTCTCATCACTAGGACTGTCTGGCCACAGAAAGAGCCAAACATGTTTGTAGAAAAGAGAATAAATGAGGCCAAAATATATGTGTAAAAAAAAGACATGTAGATTGTATCAGGACACATAAAGATCTCATATTAATCTTACGTAAGGAAATAGGGTGAATATGTCAATTCTTTAGCAAAACAAAACAAAATTAACTTACAAAAATATCCCACGATGAAAACACACAAATACCACATTCACATTCTCTGCAGGACAGTCAAGCAAACAGAGTTGACCACTGCCTAAAAATGTTCCAGGTACACTAGATTTTATAATGTGTTTACTGACAGTGGAAAGGATATTAACAATAGGTAAAACTCATTCACTTGGAATTTAAAGTACATAAAGCATGTTAAGTTTGAGGAGTAAGGCAGGATGTCAAGAACCCCCATCACATAGGTGTTATATGAAAAGATCTGAGACAAAACCCACTTGCTGACAGCCAATTCTCCATGGGTCTCATATTTCTTTACATTTTCTGAGACAGAGTACTGACTGCCTTTGTTCAAAACTGACATTTTAAGAGTGTTTGTATAGCAAAAAACCCTGGAAATTAAAGGTAGTGTCTTCCTCTAGATCAAAGAGCAGGCATGCTTATTGTCTAGTATAAGATAATGACTTCCTTTGACAAAAGGATAGGCATGCCTGTTCTCCCTTGTAAAAATTCTGGGTTCCCTAAGGTTAGGGTTCCTCTCTGTAATGCAGCCACCTGGGTTCATTTACATGTCTCTGTGGGACTTTGGACCAGTGAAATGTGCAAATATGCTGCTCTGCTGCTTACTGTGCCAGGAGAAGTAAAGTCCTTTATCTCTGACCCAGAATTCTCATCTCTTCCCCCGACCTATGAAATTGTGCTATGCTAACTTGTTAGCTTACAAATAGTGTAAAACCTCAGACGTTTCATAGTTCTTTACAATATTCATTAGAAGGATGAAATTACAGAGAATGCTTTTGGGAAAAAGGAAGATGAGGGCCTTTCGGGCCAAATAAGGGGATTCAATAGAATTCAGGGGATTGATAGCAAATATATGATATTCTACAAAAGTATTCATCTACAATGGGTTATAAGTATTAGAGGGACAGAAAGATAGAGAAAGAGCAAAAGAGGAGGGAGAGACAGAAGTTAGGAACCAGGAGAGGGAGGGAGGGGCCCTTTCCCACATTTTTTTTTTTTTTTTTCAGACACAATCTCGCTCTGTCGCCAAGGCTGGAGTGCAGTGGCGCGCTCTCTGCTCACTGCAAGCTCTGCGCCCCAGGTTCACACCATTTTTTTTTTTTTTCCAGACAGAGTCTCGCTCTGTCACCCAGGCTGGAGTGCAGTGGAGCGCTCTCTGCTCACTGCAAGCTCCATCCCGCGGGTTCACGCCATTTTCCTCCCTCAGCCTCCCGAGTAGCTGGGACTACAGGCACCCGCCACCACATCCGGCTAATTTTTTGCATTTTTAGTAGAGACGGGGTTTCACCGTGTTAGCAAGGATGGTCTCGATCTCCTGACCTCGTGATCCGCCCACCTCCACCTCCCAAAGTGCTGGCATGACAGGCGTGAGCCACCGCGCCTGGCCCCCACTGATTTTTAAAAGCACTGCTCTAGAAAATTATTCTAAATCTGAAAATTTATGTAGATTGTTGTAACAAAAAGATGCTCTTAGTTTGAGAAACTTAACACTATGGTACTGTTCTGGTTAATAAATGTTCTGATATACATAATGTATGTGGTTTATAATTGTGTTTGCTTAAAATGTTTTGACTGTACAAAGTGCTAGATCTGCAAATTTCAGCTCTAGGCTTTTCATTATTTCTCATTAACAAGATTGACTCAGATACCCTCTCCGACAAAATTTGACTTATCATTTTAATATTTGCTAACAAAGTCATTCAATCTCTTTGCATTTCCTTTTATATGTATATTATTTGTAGCAAAGTCATATTATGTGTATAATTCTATGATCTTTATTCCCCCTCTCTATAGGAAGAACCCAAATCAAGAGATTTACTTCAAGTTTGAAATAATTTTAAGTCAATGATGAAGAAATTCTGATTTACTTAAGTAACCAAAATATATTGAAAACTTGTTAAGGTAAGCAATATTACTATAATTTTGCAGACCTTTTGAGACTTTATTGATGAAAGGCTGAAAAATATCTTAAATGAGACATTTTAGTTCTTACAGTGTCAAAGGCCACATTTTTCAAGTCTCAGGAAATTCTCTGAAAAAAAGTAAAAGAGATGATTGAGAAGAATAACGAACATATTCATGTGCTAAGTTTCATACTGAGTCTTTTCAAATTCTGTGGCTTACTTGAGCTTTCTTATTTTTTAAAGTATTCTTTGGTTAACACTCATTAACCATACCCTGCTGATAGCAAGAAATAAATTTAATAGGCAGCTGGGCGAGAGGGAATGTAGCAGAGCTAAAATTGCCCTAGACTAGTGATGCAAAGATTTATCTTTCTCCAAATCCACTGCTTATGAAATACATGTTACCAAATAAGATGTATATTAAAAAACTCTTTAAGTACTTTTGCATGTATTATTGAATACCAAAGGTGCACTCCAATAAGTATTGACCAGCTAACAAAATAGTTAAAAGCAATATAAATATATGCATGTGTATGTGCAAGAGAGAGAGAAAAAATATGTACATATGATAATATGTGTATATATAACTATACATCTACCTATACATACACTACATACACATACACACATATAAAACACACATACATTTGTAACATTAATCTGCTGAACTCAACGTTCAATCCATTGGGATCATTCTTTATCTTTGTAAAGAATTATATGATATGACGTTGCCAGAGTGGAAATGAGATGAGTCATTATCAAAAATTTCACTAATAAGATTTCATGAAGAGTTGTGATCATACTACAAAGAACCCAAGTTCTCTCTGCTTCTCAATTAGTGTTTAGACAGGCTTTTCAGCTGGCTCTGTCATCTTGCCCATGGCCAAAATATTACATAGGACTATCTCAATTAAAATAAATCCCTCTGAGTGTAGGTGTTATTGAAAACATAATCTCCATCCTATATGAAGGTTGTATTCTAAAATGTTCTTTTAATTCAGCCATTTGGAACTCAAATGATTTTTTCTATGTAAGTTGGATTGTGTAGTGTTCTCTATTTTTCCAGGAAGGCCACAAAAGGCAATTCTGTCCATAAAATGTCTAAATATGATGGCTAATTCTATTTTAACTGCACTTAATTATTGTTCTGTAACAGGTGTATTCAAAATAACACGTCTTCCCCTTCTGAAGGATGGGGCTCTCTATCTCCTATCAAAGTGTTGTTTAATCAGAAGGCTGGCTCTCTGGCAAAGAGTGTGAGTTGGCTTAGAAGTTTTCTGTATTCCAACAGATTGCCTATATTTTTGTAGAAATGGATAATTGTTTTTTGTAGTTGGAAAGATAAATCTCTAGCTTAAACACCAACATTTATGCTCCCATTATGTCCTACACACTGTGGTAGGTACTGAAGAAAAAACATAGAGGTCAAAGACACTGGCTAGGCTTTAAGGGCATTAGAGAAGCAGGGAACTCAGTACTCACACTTATCTATTGCACAAAATACTCAGCATATAATAATAAATGAGGCTGAAGAAAATGTGAGCTGAGGATATTTCGTATGGGTTCTTGCAAAATTTTTCAGACTAAAAATTTTACCCATTCATAGGTTTTATTAAGATGTCACTGAAAGCCCTGGACATACACTTTGAAAAGTTTAATTAAGAAGTTGCAGGTTTGAAAATTTGGAAGGGAGAATAACTATTAGAGGACCGGTTAGTTTATTGCAATGGTTCAATCTCTCTCCTTAAAGTTGGAGAACAATGATCAAATATCTCCAGTATAAAAATAAAATCCTATATAGACACAAAACTACTTTATGAAATTTCATATATAATAGTTTCATTAGACAAAGGGTATTACTAATAAGACATCAATACTTACAGGAATTCCTGCATCGAAGTTATGCAAGAAAGCTCAAATATTTCACTTTAGATAACTTTATACCCTTTATACTAGGCATCTAACAGCAAATAACTATCATTTGAGAAAATATCTCCTTTTCCTAGTCTGTCACAATGAAGTGTAATCAGTCTGTATGGAAATATGCGCCATACAGGTAAAAATACTTTGAAAAATATGTGATTTCCTCTTTCTGTTATACAGAAAACATAGTAATTGCATAAAATATTATAGATATGTCAGCTTTGGAAGTCTGAAAATAGTGTTCCTGACTAATAAAAAATCAAGTTTCTAAGAAAATTAAAGTAAGACAGTGAAACCAATAGATGCTTAAAGAAATCATGATATTAAGCATATTGAGGCCAGCCTAATCAGCCTAATCTTTTGGATCACTGAGATCTCACTCTTTGCTGGATGCTTATAAGAAAATATTCAGCTCCATGAAGAAATGTGATAGTTAAATAATTTAGTGGCAACTTCTATGTTATCACACTGGCATTTTTCTTTTCCATACTTATTCAAGCATGGTGGTTTATGACAATTTTCTTTTTCTAACACAAGAAGAAAAAATAATTGGTTTTTTATTCCTACACATATATCACACACACACAGTTACAAAATGTAGTTCAAAAAGTCAAATATAGTTAAAGATTGAAGTTAAATTGAAAACTTTTAAATTGTTCAAAGGAAATTTTTTTTTTTTTTTTGAGACAGAGTCTTACTCTGTCACCCAGACTGGAGTGCAGTGGCACGATCTCGGCTCACTGCAACCTCTGCCTCCTGGGTTCAAGTGATTCCCTGCCTCAGCCTCCCGAGTAGCTGGGATTACAGGCATCAGCCACCAGGCCCACCAAATTTTTGTATTTTTAGTAGAGACGGGTTTCACCATCTTTGCCAGGCTGGTCTTGAACTCCTGACCTCGTGATTTGACCGTCTCAGCCTCCCAAAGTACTGGGATTATAGGAGTGAGCCACAGTGCCTGGCCGGAAATTTTTTTGACATAGAAAAAACATGAAATGTGATCAGCTTACTAGGTGCCACTTTCTTTGCAAGTTGAAAGCTATGTAATATTGGACACTGAATCTTTATAAAATATAATATTGAGATATCTGATCTCTGATTTTCTTTCCAGGCCCATAACGAGACAGTCAAGCCATTAGTCACTGCCAGAAATCTGCACACATTCCCACATTCAGCCACTTGACCTACTATACAAAATGAATGGTTAGTGATATAATTTGACTGTGTCCCCACACAAATCTCATCTTGAATTGTAGCTCCCATAATTCCTACATGTTGTGGGAGAGACCCAGTGGTAGGTAATTGATTCATGGAGGCAGGTCTTTCTCATGATAGTGAATAAATATCTGATAAATAATAGTGAATAGTATATGATGGTTTTATAAAGGGGAGTTCCACTGCGCACGCTGTCTTGCCTGCCACGCTGCCACATAAGACATGACTTTCTCTTTCTTTGTCTTCCACCATGATTGTGAGGCCTTCCCAGCCATGTGGAACTGTAAGTCCATTAAACCTCTTTTTTTTTTTAATTTATTACCCGGTCTCAGGTAAGTCTTTATTAGCAGCATGAGAACTAACTAATAGTTAGGCCTACTCCTCACAATTCTACTCATTGAGAAGCTATTTTTCTCACTGCCTTTTAAAACCACCCCTGTATGTGACTGTAATGTAGCTACAATCCATTCTTAGCTTCTTCTTTCATGTCAGTATGTCCCAATCATAAAGTAGAAGTTGGGCATTTTCCTTCTCTGCTAGCTACTAGTATCATCCCCTGTAGGTGACAACCAGGGAAGAGGTTCTGGTGCTACTATAGTGGGTAACCTGGGAGTCTGGGCTGCCTGCTCCTCAGCTTATCCATGCTTACTATTCTCTGCTCAGTCTCAGATGTACAATTTCCATTTTTGGATGAACTGCTATTTCAGCCCATTCAACTTTATGACTTGGAACAGCTGACATAACTCAGATCATAGGGACAGTTCTTTGATGCATACTCACCTGGTGGCCTATCATCAAATGTTTCATGTCTATGAAAGCCCTGTAACATGCCAAGAGTTACTTCTAAAACGATACACGAATCTCTGTTGAGGATGGGTTGGCTTTTTTCCAGAATTCCAGGGGACTTTGTTGTAATTTTTTCACAGAGGTGACACAAATATATCATACCATATAGTCTGCAATCACTGACACCATAGGGCTTGATGAATCACTGTGGTAGAACAGTTTGCCCCTCAGCCTAGACCTGCTGCAGAGGTATCAACAAATCTGCAGCCTTCTTTGTCACCCAGTATATTGGCCTGGAGCAGTATTGCTAAATCCGGGATATGTTGCCTCAAGAGCTCAATGAGGTCTACCAAGAGCTGTACTTTATTTATTATGGGTAGGAACTGAGAGGCCATGAACCTTAAAAAGTTGACTAAAGTGTCAGGTCACTGAATCTTCAGAGTGTTTATTTTTCACCCTCCAGAGCATATGTGTGAGACACCAAAGCTCTAATGGTGTAGATTTAGCTACCTCTTGCTCATCCTGTCCAAGTAGGGTGATGTCATTGTTTTAATGGATCAGTGTGATATCCTGTGGAATATTCAGGTAGTACAAATATCTTCATAATATATTAAGGAAGAGGGTAGGAAAATTAGTATAGTACCAATGCAGAACTGTCAATGAATATTGTAATTCATCTGAGGTAAATGGAAACTGTCCGTCATCCTCTTGCCTAATCAAAATAGCTGCATTCCACATACCTAAGATCTTGTTAATCTACTCTAGCGACAATTTCACATGTCTTACAACAGTGTGGTTGGAGCTACCACTGGTTGAATTTGCAGTGATCTCTCAGCCATTTTCTACAATCCTTTCACTTTTTTTAGGAACCAAACTAGTGAATTAAATTAATTACAAAATAAGAAACCACATCCTTCCTTATTTTAGGTTTTTACAGGTAGAATATCTGCCATGTCCCCCTCTCCCCAGTATGTAATACTACTTTTGCTGTTCTGTTTTGAAGTCATTTTGTAAGGTTTCTACTTGGCTTTGCACAAAGGCCTCTCCCAAAAACCAAGTACTCAGTGTGAAATTTATCCCAACTGCCAATTATGTCCATTCCAATATCACACTCAGGGACTGAGGAAATGACCACTAAGAGGGTAATGGACCAAGGTAGCCAAGTGTGAGCTGAACGTCAACTAGGACTCCATTTACTACCTGGCTCCCACAGACCTCCTTTCTAAAAGTGGGACCATGATGACACTTTGAATCTTTAGTTACAAGTGCCAACTCAAACCTGGTGTTCAATAATTCTCAAAATGTGTAAGTATTACTTTCCTCAAAATGCCTGTGTAAATGGCCATAGGTTCCTCTGGGTGATGGTTTGGAGAAACCATTACCATATATATATTCCTTGCAAGGTCACAGGCTTATTCATATTAGGAGCCTAGTGACCAGTTCAGTCAAATAGATTTCAAGTTTAAAAATTAGCTTAGGACTGGGACTTGAGAAAAAAAAAAATCACAGAATTTTCAGAGGACACTTTTGGTATCTAGTTCCTCCCATGGTTGTCTTTTACTGACTGTAGATGTTAAATAACACAGTTTGGCTGCCATTCTATTTTGTTCCTCAGAACACCATATTCTGTGAATCACTTCCATAGTTCCTTGTGGAGCAGTGCTTTTGTTCACCCCTCAAGCATTGCTTTAAGTAAATGTAGTTTCATGCCCTATTTTCTGGTTAAGTGATGTCATCTGGCTTCTATTATTTCAGAGCCCAATCATCTCAACGGACACTAAGGAACTCAGTTCTACTAGCAGTTACCTCTCCAACTCTTAGTCTCTCTCTGCAGAAGAAATAAAATTCACATGGCGTTAGTGCTCCTTTTAACAGCTCATTTCTCATATATCCTCTGGTCCCTCATGCCCAGCTGATCTTCACATAATCTATGCATTACAAAATGTCCACCTTGCACAGCTACTTTATTCCTGGCTCCACTAAGCCAGGGAAACTCAATCATTTTCATATCACTCAGCACTGGCTGTTACTTTTTTTAGGCTTCTGAAAGCCCTAACAGTGAGTACATTCCACCTCCCAGTGTTTTGCCAGAGTTTATATTCTGTGTCCCAAGAAAGTGCCCCAAAGTGAATGAATTACTTATCTTACTTATATTTGATTCTATTGGTAAAATTTCAGTCTTGAGGGTAGTTTGCTGACTCGTGTACATGGGAGCTCTTTGGGTATAAAACCTTCTTCCATCTCTATCACTTAGTTACTGACCAATTATCAGAAGAGGAGCTCCTTAAGAAGCTCCTCTCTCTGCCTTTCTGAGAGGAAAAATCTTTTTCAACATCTTTAGCATAGATGTAAGCTATGAAGGCTCTGGAGAGTAATACAGGGACAGCATCCTTGAGATAAAATAGAGATATTTTCATCTCATATTTCAGGGTCCCAAATTCCTTCTAAGACCCTCACCTCGCATAATAGATCTTCTTTAAGGGCTGAGCATTTAAAGGTCTGCAAAGCTCTGCAGACTTCAGTTAGCTGCTCTGCTTTATTTGCTCTTCCATTGCAAGAAATGAAATTTTCTTTTTAGAATTAATAAGTGAGGATTCCCTTTTCCTTGAGTTTTTTTGAACAGCTTCAGTATTACTGGTACTAGTTCTTCCAGGATACAAAATCAATGAACAAAAATCAGTTGCATTTCTATACACCAGTAATGACCAAGCTGAAAACCAAATCAAGAACTAAATACCACTTCCAACAGCTACCCAAAAAAGTGCGTAGGAGGCTGGGTGCGGTGGCTCACGTCTGTAATCCCAGCACTTTGGGAAGCCGAGGTGGGTGGACCTGAGGTCAGGAGTTTGAGACCAGCTTGACAAACATGGTGAAACCTTGTCTCTACTGAACATTCAAAAATTAGCCAGGCATGGTGGTGCACACCTGTAGTCACAGCTACTCAGGAGGCTGAGGCAGAAGAATCGCTTGAACCCAGGAGGCAGAGGTTGCAGTGAGCCAAGATTGCGCCACTACACTCCAGCCTGGGCGACAGAGTGAGACTCCATGTCAAAAAAAAAAAAAAAAACGTGCCTAGGAATACATTTAAGAAGATGAAAGATCTCTATATGAATAACTACAAAACACTGATAAAAGAAAATATAGATGATACAAAAAAAATGGAAGAACATCCCATGCTCATGGATTAGGAAAATCAATGTTATTAAAACAACATGACTCCCCCAAATAATCTAGAGTTTCAATGCAATTCCTATCAAAATGCCAACTTCACTTCTCACAGAATTAGAAAAAAAAAATCCTAAAATTCCTGTGGAATCAAAAAAGAACCCAAATAGCCAAAGCAATCCTAGGCAAAAGAAAAAAGCTAGAGGCATCACATTACCAGACTTCAAATTATACTACAAGGATATAGTAACCAAAATATTATGGTACTGGTATAAAACTGGACAGCTAGATCAATGGAATAGAATAGAGAACCTAGAAATAAAGCCACATACTTAAAACCAACTGGTCTTCAACAGAGTAGAGAAAAACATACGCTGGAGAAAGACACTCTATTCCATAAATGGTGCTAGGGAAACTGGATAGCCACATGCAGAAGAATGTAACTGGATCCCTATGTCTCATCATGTAAAAAAATTAACTCAAGAAGGATTAAAGGCTTAAATATAAGAGTTGAAACTATGAGAATTCTATAAGAAAACCTAGGAAAAACTCTTTTCGACATTGGCCTTGGAAAAGAATTTATGACTAAGACCTCAAAAGCAATTGCAACAAAAACAAAAATAGACAAATGGAATTTAATTAAACCAAAAGGCTTTCACACAGCAAATGAAATAATCAACATGGCAAACAGACAACCTATAGAATTGGAGAAAATATTTTCAAACTATGCATCCTACAAAATGGATTCATTTATCTAGACTAGTATCTAGAGTCTATGAAATACTCAACAGGAAAAAAGCACAAAATACCATTAAAAAGTAGGCAAAGCACATAAGCAGACGTTTTCAAAGGAAGACATACAAATGTCCCAGAAACATATGAATGTTCAACGTCTCTAAACATCAGAGAAATGCAAATTAAACCCATAATGAGATAACATATTACACTCATCAGAATGACTATTATTAAAAAGTTAAAAAAATAAAAACAAAAACAAGTTGGTGAAAATGCAGAGAAAAGAGAACACGTTATACACTGGCGGTGGGAATGTAAATTAGTACAATCTTTATGGAAAACAGTACAGAGGTTCTCAAAAACTAAAAAACGGAACTATCATTTGATCTAGCCACCCCACTACTAGGTATCTACTCAAAGAAAAAGAAATCATTATTTTACAAAGACACCATACTCATATGTTTAAAGCAGCACTCTTCACAACAGCAACAATATGGAATCAGTCTGTGTCCCTGAACAGATGACTGGAGAAAGAAAATGTGATGTATATGGAATAGTACTCAGCCATAATAAACAATAAAATCATGCCTTTTTCAGCAATGTGGATGAAACTGGAGATAATTATCTTAAGCAAAATAATTCAGAAACAGAAAAGCAAATACCACATGTTCTCATTTATAAGTGGGAGCTACATAATGTGTATACATGGACTTAGAGAGTGGAATAATAGGCATTGGAGACTCAGAAAGGTGAGACGGTGGGAGGAGATTGGGAGGAGGGTGACGGATGAGAAATTACCTAACAAATACAATGTACTCCATTTGTATGACAGTTACATGGAAAGCCCAGATTTCACCACTACGTAACATATACATGTAACAAAACTTGTGCCCTGAATCTTTTTGTTTGTTTTTAAGCTACCAAAAAGCCACTCTGACTCTTATATCTAGCCTTTAATCACTAGTCCTCAGCTTCTCATTATCTCTCTGCAGGCCATCAAGACAACTTGACAGAAATCAGCCAACTTTGCTATTTTTGTAGGCTTTGTTCCTCTATATCTTTCACATGCCTGAGGTTTTATTTATTTATTTTTTTTTACCTTCAAGAGCCTTCCTCCCACTGGGACAGTTTTTAAAGTTATTGGAGAAATATTTGTTAAGTGTACTACCAACTTTTTCTAGGTACTAAATGTGCCTCACAGACCATTCAAATAACCTCCATTTTGCCCAACAAGTAGTCTCTCTTGCACATTTCTTATGTTAATCTCACTACATCATACCAAGAAGATCTTACATTCTAGTTTGCCTGAGACAATCCTGATTTAACCTGTGGTCCTGGCGTTATTGTTAACACTGCCCTCTTTCCTTCTAAAGATTGTCTACATTGCATGATAAATTACTGATCATCCTAATTAGAATACACTCCCACTTCTCACATTTTACCCATAGCAAAGATTTATAATTCTTGACATTGGCAGTAATGTCATACTTTATAGGCCATTCTATGCCAGAGATACAGCTTATGTATATTATCACATTTAATACAATAAATTATTATTTCCCACTTCTAAAATGAGGAAATTGAGTATGAAAGGATTTAAATAATTTTCTAGATATTACCTGCTGATAAAGGGAAGGAAACACAATGTAAAACCAAATCAGTCTGATTCCATAGGCTCTATATTATGACCCTTTGTATTCATTTCTGTTGCCACATTATTATAATAACTAACTGAAAATAGTTCCATTTCTGCCACCAATTTTTCTGGGCATTAGTTTCTCCCATGTAAATGTATATAGGTTGGCTACATAATTTACAATGTTTTCTTTGAATCTATAATTCTATTATCTAAATTAAGAAGCTGGCTTTATTACGAATGTTATCAAACTGCTTTTGAATTTTGTGAAACAGGGTAGAAACATAACTGATTTAAAAATATAGTTGTACATACATTCTTTAAAAGCAGCTGGCAAGGGATGTGCGCGGTAGCTCACGCCTGTAATCCCAGCACTTTGGGAGGCGGAGGCGGGCAGATCACAGGGTCGGGAGATTGAGATCATCCTGGCTAACACGGTGAAACCCCGTCTCTACTAAAAATACAAAAAATTAGCCATGAGTGGTGGCGGGAGACTGTAGTTCCAGCTACTCGGGCGGCTGAGGCAGGAAAATGGCATGAACCTGGAAGGCAGAGCTTGCAGTGAGCCGAGATCGCGCCACTGCACTCCAGCATGGGCCACAGAGTGAGACTCCATCTCAAAAAAAAAAAAAAAGAAAAAGAAAAAGAAAAAAAGAAAAGAAAAGTAAAAGAAAATACCCTAGCAGTGAGCCGAGATCGCACCACTGCACTCCAGCCTGGGTGACAGGGCGAGACTCCGTCTCAAAAAAAAAAAAAAAAAAAAAACAGCTGGCAGAAAACTTCCTGCGAAGTTCAACTATTCTTTAAAAAATCAGAATGTTTCTGTAAGGGCAACATGGATAACATAATATTGTTTAGTGATACCGAATATTGAAGCACAGCCATTCATTTTCTTTAATTTTACTTCACATAGTTCCAACAATCAAAAGGATCTATAAAACCTAGTGAGAGAAATAGCAGTCACATGCCCTTATCCCATTCTCTTAGCTCTTTGGTTAGGCATTTTTCTTCACATCTATAAAATATGTGCTTACCTTGCTACTGAGAGATGACAGCATGCTGGCAGCCCTGGCAGCCCTCGCTCGCTCTCGGTGCCTCCTCGGCCTCAGCACCCATTCTGGCCGCGCTTAAAAGGAGCCCTTCAGCCCGCTGCTGCACCGTGGGATGCCTTCTCTGGGCTGGCCGAGGCCGGAGCCGGCTCCCTCGGCTTGCTGGGAGGTGTGGAAGGAGAGGCACGGGCGGGAACCGGGGCTGCGCGCCGCGCTTGCAGGCCAGCTAGAGTTCTGGGTGGGCGTGGGCTTGGCGGGCCCCGCACTCTGAGCGGCCGGCCGGCCCCGCCTGCCCGGGGCAGTGAGGGGCTTAGCACCCAGGCCAGCAGCTGCGGAGTGTGCGCTGGGTCCCCCAGCAGTGCCGGCCCGCCGGCGCTGCGCTGGAATGCTCACTGGGCCTTAGCCGCCTCCCCGCGGGGCAGGGGCTCGGGACCTGCAGCCTGCCATGCCCAAGCCTGCCCCCACCGCCCTGGGCTCCTGCGCGTCCCCAGCGTCCCCGACGAGCACCGCCCCGGTTCAGTGGCGCCTGGTCCCATTGACTGCCCAAGGGCTGAGGAGTGCAGGCGCACAGCGCCGGACTGGCAGGCAGCTCCACCAGCTGCCCACTGCGGGATCCACTGGGTGAAGCCAGCTGGGCTCCTGACTCTAGTGGGGACTTGGAGAACCTTTATGTCTAGCTAAGGGATTGTGAATACGCCAATCAGCACTCTGTATCTAACTCAAGGTTTGTAAATGCACCAATCAGCACTCTGTATCTAGCTCAGGGTTTGTAAATACACCAATCAGCCCTCTGTATCTAGCTGATCTACTGGGGACCTGGAGAACTTTTGTGTCTAGTTCAGGGATTGTAAACGCACCAATCAGCACCCTGTCAAAATGGACCAATCAGCTCTCTGTAAAACAGACCAATCGGCTCTCTGTAAACTGGACCAATCAGCAGGATGTGGGTTGGGCCAGATAAGAGAATAAAAGCAGGCTGCCTGAGCCAGCAGTGGCAACCCCATTGTGTCTGCTTCCACCGTTTTTTTTTGTTGTTGTTGTTCTTTGCAATAATTCTTGTTGCTGTTCGTTCTTTGGGTCCACATTGCTTTTATGAGCTGTAACACTCACTGTGGAGGTCTGCCGCTTCACTATTGAGTCACTGAAACCACGAAGCCACCAGAAGGAAGAAACTCCGAACACATCCGAACGTCAGAAGGAAGAAATTCTGAAGACATCTCTGACCACATCTGAATGTCAGAAGGAATAAACTGTGGACATGCCGCCTTTAAGAACTGTTGACACTCACTGTCAGGGTCTGTGGCTTCTTTCTTGAAGTCAGTGAGACCAAGAACCCACCAATTCCAGACACACTACTTCATTTTTTTAAAGACAGTGTGTATTGGCTTTTACTATGAAAATTTAAGACTAAGCTCCCATCTGTTTCCCATGTTTTAAACCATATTTTCCCATATTTCACACTTCTCAAGTCATTCTCAAAATATAATATTATTGTTTTATTAGTATTCAGGTTTTCATTATGAGTATATGTAGAGGGGTGAAGGCTAGTCACAGTTTAGTTTTGGTTTGTATCTACATAGAATTTAACTTCTGGCAAGACTTTAGTTTTCTTTCTTTTTTTTTTTTCTTTTTGCTCTTGTTGCCCGGGCTGTAGTGTGATGGCGCGATCCTGGCTCACTGCCACCTCCGCTCCCCGGGTTCAAACGATTCTCCTGCCTCAGCCTCCCAAGTAGCTGGGATTACAAGTGTGCACCACCACGTCCAGCTAATCTTGTATTTTTAGTAGAGACAGCGTTTCATCATGTTGGTCAGGCTGGTCTCAAACTCATGACCTCAGCCTTGGCCTCCCAAAGTTCTTGGATTACAGGACTGAGCCACCACACCTGGCCAGAACTTTAGTTTTCAGACCAGTTTTCTTCTCTTATTTACTTAACTGTCTGGGAACATACCATTAATTTACTCCAAAATTCCTGCTGTTAGTGTCAATCTCCTCAGCACATTCAAGCACGTCAAATGTTTTACTGACTTAGTATATCACAGACATATTTTCTCATGAGCACTAAAAGTCACCAGCCTGGGCTGATTGCTCTTGAGGCTTGTGACTCAGCTGTCCTACTGGGAGGAACTTTCCCCTTTCATCCTGGAGATTCGCTTCTCTTTGCACATTGAATCTTCCTTCTAGGCCACATAGGTTTTTTTTTTTCTTGGTTTACTTCATTTTAGTGGTATATTAGGATTCTGCAGAGAAACAATCTGTAGGATATAAAGAGATTTATTCTAGGGAATTGATTAATATGGTTATGGAAGCTGAGAAGTCCCATGATTTACCACATAGAAGCTGATGAGGGCTTCTCTCAAACTAACGATCCCTACTTTTTCATTAATTTATATGTTTAGGGCACTTAAAAGAAGATAGGAGATTTCTGGGCATGGGTTCAACTTACGGAAGCCAGTCGTGTAAGTCAGTCTGGGTCTAAAGGCTTGAGAATCAAGGAAACAAAATGGTGTATATCCTGGTCCCAGGGCAAGAGAATAATTACATGCCAGCTAAAGGAGTGGGACAGACAAAGAGGTAAATCCTCCTTTCTTCCATGTTTTATTCTATTAGTGCCTCAGTTGATTGAATGATGTCTACTCACATTGAAAAAGGCCACCTGTGTTACTGAGTCTAATGATCCAAATGTTAATTTCATCTGAAAACATCCTTATAGACTTCCTCAGAAATAACGTTCAACCATGTATCTGGGCATCCCTGATCCAGTTCAGTTGATGCAAAACTTAAACATCACTGGTGGAGTACATCAGCTAGCAACTTACTGAGAAAAGAGGAATAGAGATAATTTTTGAGACTATGCATGTGTGAAGAAAATGTTTTTCTATCTTCATATTTGATTGATAGGTGATAAAATATACAATTTTATTTTGGGAACAAGTCCCACCAGGACTTTGAAAGTGCTTTTGCTTTGTTTTTGTTTTTGTTTTTTTCAACTGGTTGCCTGTACCACTACAGAAATCTCTGATGCGATTATGAGTCCTGATCCTTTTCATGTAACCTATATCTATATCTTCTCCCACTCTCAAAACCTTTAGGATCCTCTCTTTGCCAAACTTCAGTTTTCTAAAATTTCAATGTGATATGCTTTAATACAAGGGTGCCAGAAACCGGGTAGTTTCTTTTCACCTGGGAAACATGCTCTACTGTGCTGGGAAAATCCCTTGAATGATTTCTTTGATATTTTATATCTCTCCTTTTCTCTATTTTTTATTTTTGGAAATATTTTTAGGTGATGGCATATTGATCCTCTAATTTTCTTTACCTGTCTCACTATTTCTCATCAATTCTTCTATTTTCTAACTTTTCAAGCTGCTTTCTAGATTTTTATCTTCTAATGTTTCAAATGCATATTTTCTAAAAAATTCTGAACACATGCATACAATTATTAATACATTAATAATAAATTACTTGTATATTAATAATAAATTACTTGAATTTTTAATTACTAAAGTGTCTCTTTTCTCCAATTTCCTTTTTACTTTTTTCTGTTGTGTATTTTGGTTTCCATCTCTCTCATTAGGGCTTCTCTCAAACTAACAATCCCTACTTTTTCATTAATTTATATGTTTAGGGCACTTAAGATGGGAAATTTCTGGGCATGGGTTCAACTTATGGATCTATGGGCTGGTCAAAGCCTCAAGGAAGATTCTTTTGTCATCTATTATGAGGATTAAATTTGTCCGTAAAATTTGGAGGACCAAGAGAATCACAAATCTAGTTTAAAAACGTTCCTGTAATTCTCCATTTTTTTTATTTTTTATTTATTTATTTATTTATTTTGAGACGAAGTATTGCTGTATCACCTAGGTTGGAGTACAATGGTATGATCTCATCTCACTGTAACCTCTGTCTCCAAGCTTCAAGCAATTTTCCTGCCTTAGCCTTCCGAGTAGCTGGGACTACAGGCATCTGCCAGCACACCAGGCTAATTTTTGTATTTTTAGTAGGGACAGGATTTCACCATGTTGGCTAGGCTGGTCTTGAACTTGACCTCAAGTGATCCTCCCGCCTCAGCTTTCCAAAGTCCTGGGATTACAGGTGTGAGCCACCACACCAGGCCTATGGCCTATCTTTTTATTTTTTTGAAGTCACTACCACCAATAGTACTGTGTAGTTTTATTAACCATTTAAATATCTTGTACTTAACTATTTAAGCATCTGGTAAGATTGGGACACAATTGGGATTGAAAAGTGAACATATATTATTCAGCAATTAAAAGTTCTAAAGAAGCCACTACATACTCTTCACAATATGTTTTCACAGAGAAAAACAGTACTTGCCATTAGCCCAGCACACCAAGTGTACCGAAATAAAAAAGAGGCAACAAGAAAAATATCTACATTAGAAAGAACCACACTTTCAGTTTCTCCCCTTTATCCCCTAAACCAACATATTACTCTATGGGTTTATCTATACAGCTGCCCATTAGCTTCTAGAGTATTGTCAGAAGGGAAAGAATAAATGACACTGGCCAGTAGTTTTTGGATATTTAGGAAAGAGAGGTGAAAGTCAGTTCTCAGAACAAATTAGTCAGCTTCAGTCTCATCAACAGGACCTCTGGATTCTTTGTTCTTCTGCACCTGTTCAGTGTGCTTATCCTTCTCTGGCAAACACTCCAGTTTGACAGCCATTTGTGCCTCTCTATTCTCTTCATTAGCTTTCATTTTGTGGGTGAGGTTCTTTTTGCCATTTTGCTGAAGTTAGTATTCTCTTCTATTGCTTTCTAAACCACTTATTTCTCCATCCTTTGCAAGCTGCTTCAAGATCTCAGCTTAGTAGGACTTGTGCCTTTCTTTTGCAGCTTCTCATATCTTCTGAGTTTCCTCTAAGGAAATTTTCCTTCTTCTGTGGAGAGGGGAAAGGGAATTATAGAATTGATTCCTTTGACTGAGGGCTGAGAATTAGTTCAAAAGCCTGGCCTGAAGCACCCTTCTCCAGTTCTTTCACCTGGATATCAAAAGAAGCCGGGTAAATAGATGACAAGAGACAGGCAATGTGTTCTATAGAATCCACTGGGGTAATGAAAGGCCATGAGCCCACCATCCTTATCGTACCTCTGCTGGTGGGACAGGTCCTGGTAACAGGCTGAGTAGCTGAGAACCTCTTCCTCCTGTCATCCCTGACCCAAGCCTGTGCAACCCAAGCTGTCCGCACCCCACACCCCACAAAGAGCGTGGCCCGTCATCTGTCACCCACAAGGGTGATCACGGGGATCTAATTCTCTCTTTTAAATGGTAAATGTCCCTTTAAATGAAGGACAGAAAGAAAGGGAATTTTTCTTGTTTTCTCTTTTCAGAATTTAAATGATGTTCAAATCCTGAGGTGTTTCTGAAATCAAATAGTAGTATCTCTTAGATAAGTGTACTCAACAAACAAATGAAAATATAAGAAAATACCCTACAATGGCCAGGCGCGGTGGCTCACGCCTATAATCCCAGCACTTTGGGAGGCCGAGGCGGGCGGATCACGAGGTCAGCAGATCAAGACCACCGTGAGACCACGGTGAAACCCCGTCTCTACTAAAAATACAAAAAAATTAGCCGGGCGCCGTCGTGGGCGCCTGTAGTCCCAACTGCTCGGGAGGCTGAGGCGGGAGAATGGCATGAACCCGGGAGTCGGAGCTTGCATGAGCCGAGATCGCGCCACTGCACTCCAGCCTGGGCGATAGAGTGAGACTCTGTCTCAAAAAGAAAAAGAAAAAAAAAGAAAAAGAAAATACCCTAGAATTTGTAGATAAAGATATAAAGACATAAGATGCAGGGTATACAATCATGTAGTTCATATTATACATTCATATGGAACATACCAAGTCATATTTGACAGTGTTCAGTAGGTGTCAGGTTGAGCTCAAGACAATCATGGTTCTTCCAGGAATATTCTACCCATCATTCTGATCTGTAGAAAAAAGGCCGTTCTATGTCTTTAGTCTGATTCTGGGGAAGAATTATATCGTTCTTTTACAATATATTAATTTATATATAAACCCTATTCTGTATGGGAAACCATTGTTAATAATGTAGAAAGACTTCACTAAAAATTGGACAACCAATTATTTGCTTCTTTATTTTATAGTAAGGATATAATATGGAGACCTCTCTATATATGCTCTTCTCTTTATTCTGTAGAATTAAGACCAAAGATTAATCCTTACATGAACAGATTCCCATCAATATAATAAATTTAAAGTTTAGAGAATATTGCATTTTTAGATTTGATTCTGTCATCGCCTTATAGAAAATCCACAGGTGCTATCATGGGATATATGGCGGGTGGTAGAAAGAAGATTAATTTTTAAAGGTGTTTCAATATGAGGATGAGTGGTTTACAATGTGTATAAATCTTTATAAAGAATTCTCCTTTGAGCCAGTTGTGGAATATGACAGTAACCACTTCTATGTAGGTATCAAATATCATAAAATCAAATCTCATAAAAATCAGCAAACCAAAAGTAGACTGATCTCTAAATCACAAGGAAATTGTATGCAATGGAGTGGTGGGAGCAATCTGTATACTAAGGAACATTTGCTTCATCAATCAGATGTGAATGTGCCATTCTAATACATGTTTTCTGATTCTAATAGCTTTAGTGGAGTACACCTGAGACATAAAAGTTTATACTTTTACCATAATACAGACAGTGGGGTTTCAGAAAGCGTTAGTGTGTATAACAGCCTGTCATGACTACTACATTTGGCAAAGAAAATCTTTCTCTAATTTTTTCCTACTGAGAAAACAAGAATTTGGCTTTCATTATGTTCAGTTACTCAGGGGAGAACTTATTATTCATCAAAAGACATACTCTTTAGTCTTCCTTTAAACTGGGCAGAGAGACTTTACTACATATAGAAAATAACCCAGCTTGGGCCGGGTGCGGTGGCTCATGCCTATAATCCCAGAAGTTTGGGAGCCCAGGGCAGGAGAATCACTTGAGGCCAGGTGTTTGAGACCAGCCTGGCCAACATGGTGAAACCCCATCTCACTAAAAATACAAAAATTAGCCAGTAGCAGTAGCATGTGCCTGTATTCCTAGCTGCTCTGGAGGCTGGGGTGGGAGAATCCCTTGAGTCTGGGAGGCAGAGGTTGTAGTGAGTGAGCTGAGATACTGCCACTGCACTCCAGCCTGGGTGATGGGAGTGAAATCCTATCTAAAAAAAGAAAAAGAAAAGAGAAGAACCCAGCTTATTTTTCTGATTGGCTAATGTTTCTCAGCAAAGGGAATATCTAAGTAGTAGATAGAAAAGGGAAACACTCTAAATTCAGTCCCCAGATATCCCTGGTTAAACTGAGACTCTCCATTTGAAAACTTTGGACTGATTTCTACAACTGCATTTTTGGCTAGCCATCCTCGATACATTTTACCTCTTAATATGAGAAATTAAACTGTATTTCTACTACGTCTCATACTAATGTACATATCATTTTAAAATCCACCTTTGTGGTTCAGGGAGAAGTCTATTGAAACCCATAACTACATGTAAAACATCAACATTAGCAACAACAAAACATGAAAAGAAAACGTTATTTTCTTTTCAGTCATTATCCACAAATCTTGTCAGCAATGTACCTGAAAAAATAAGTGAAAATGCTCCTTATTTTGATTCGTATTGCAGTGGTTCAGGCAATACTACTTAACTAAACTGAAAAATTGTATACTGGGTTTATTAGTGCTGATTTTGATACTTTCAGACATGCTATAAAAATACTATGCACTTTGGCAACAACCTTTCCTGATAGAGGAGTAGAGTGACAAGGTATCTATAAACAAATAAATAAAAGACTGCATAAATAAGCCAATGCAGTCTACTGTCATATAAATTGTCTGCAAGAGTTAAGCTTAGAGAAAAAAAAGTTTTTGTCCAGTTTCTGTGATCCTTTGCATCATATGTTTGCTACTAATATTTTTTCTTAAATTTATAAAAGACAATTTTAGCAATGGGAACAGTAGTTGGAATAGGTTATTTTCTGTTTACTTTGATACTTAAAGGCCATCAGAAGAATGGACTTTTTCCTTTAATTCCCTTCCTGCCTTCTTTTTTACATATAGTAAATTTCCAGAAGAAAATAAAAGGATTCAATTTATTTATCCTATGTGAAAATACATTTTGGAATCTATAATAGACTTTACTGAGAAATACTCTAATTATGCTCATCAATTTTACCTAGACAAAGCTGTACTTGTTAAAATATAAATAAGTTTATTTCAGTTACTTTTTCACCACTTAACCATTATCATCATCAAAAAGCATGTATTAAAAATATATTTCCACTTAACCTAATTGTGGTTGCTATACATAAAATTTGATTAGATATAATTACTGGCTATGATTAGATTGTACAGAAAAATCAGAAGTTTTGCACTGCAGTTTTCCAGTGACTTAGCAATATAGGCAGATAATTTAGACCAAATTACTCATCCTCACATATTTCAGCCAAATTTAAATGATAACAATTATTGTTACTATTATTATTTTCAGAGACAGGGTCCCACTCTGTCACCCAGACTGGAATGCAACAGAAAGATCACAAGTCACAGTAACTTTGAACTCCTGGGTCCGAGCAATCCTTCCACCTTAGCCTCCCATGTAGACAGGAACACATGCACTCACAACCAGGCCAGAGCAGTGTTTTAGTTTTTAGCAGAGACAGGATCTCACTATGTTGCCCCGGCTGGTCTCAAACTCTTGGGCTCAAGTGATCCTCCTGCCTCAGCCCCCCAAAACACTGGGATTACAGGTGTGAGCCATTGCACATGGCCATTCTTTTTAAATCTTAAAATCTGATATAGTTTGGATATTTATCTCCATCCATATCTCATGTTGAAATGTAATCCCCGATGCTGGAGGTGAGGCCTGGTGGGGGGTATCTGGATCATGGGGGCAGATCCTTCATGAATGGCTTGAGCCATACCCTTGGTGATAAGTGAGCTTTTGGTCTGAGTTCACATGAGATCTGGCCATTTTAAAGTGTGTGGCTCCTCCTCACCAACTCGTGCTTGCTCCTGTTTTTGTCATGTGAAGTGTCTGCTCCTGCTTTGCCTTTTGTTGTTAGTAAAATCTTCCTGAGGCCTCCCCAGAGGCAGATGCCAGCACTATGCTTCCTGTACAGCCTGTAGAATCACGAGCCACTTAAATGTCTTTTCTTATAAATTACCCAGTCTCAGATATTTCCTTATAGCAACACGAGAATGCCTAATAAAGAAAGTTGGTACTAGGTGCTGGGTATTGTTATAAATATACCTGAAAATGTGGAAACAACTTTGAAACTGGGTAACAGGCAGAGGTTGGAAGAATTTGGAGGGCTCAGAGGAAGACAGGAAGATGAGAGAAAGTTTGAAATTTCGTAGAGACTGGTTGAATGGTTGTGACCAAAATGCTGATAGTGATACGAATAGTGAAGTCGAGGCTGCCAAGTTCTCATATGAGTATGCAGAACTTATAAGGAGCTGGAGCAAAGCTCACACGTCATTCCTTATCAAAGAGCTTGGCTGTATTCTGCCCATGCCCTAGGCATCTGTGGGAGTTTAAACTGAAGAGTGACAGTCTAATGTATCTGGTAGAGGAACTATCTAACTAGCAAAGTATTCAAGATGGGGTCTGGCTGCTTCTAACAACCTATGCTCAGTTGCAGGAGCAAAGAAATAACAAAGCTGGAATTTATATTTAAACAGGAAGTAGAGCATAAAAGTTGGGAAAATCTGCATCCTGGTTATATGACAGAAAAAGAAAAAGCTTTTTCAGGAGATGAATACAAGCAGGCTGTGGAACAAGCACTTGCTAGAGTTATTTCTATAACTAAAAGGGAACCAAGTGCTAACATTTAAGACACTGGGGAAAATACCTCAAAGGCACTTTAGAGATCTAAGAGGCAATCCTTCCTATCACAGGCTCTGAGACCTAGGAGGACAGAATGGTTTTGTAAGCCAGGCCCATGGCCTCACTGCCCTGCAGTCTTGAGACACTGCTCCCTGCAACCCCGCCATTCCAGCTCCAGCCATGGCTCAAAGGGCCCCAGGTGCAGCACAGGCTGCCACTCCAGAAAGCACAAGCCATAAGCTTTGGCAGCTTCCAAATTGTGTTAAGCCTACAGGCAAATAGAATGCAAGAGTGAAGGCTTGGCAACCTCCATCTAGATTTCAGAGGATCTATGAGAAAGCCTGGGTACCCAGGCAGAAGCCTGTGACAGGAGTGGCCCTCACAGAGAACCTCTTCTAGGTCATTGTGGAGGGAAAGTAAGGGGTTGGAGGCCCCACACAGAATGCCCACTGGGGAACTGCCTAGTGGAGCTGTGAGAAGGGGGCCACCATCCTACAGACCCAAGAATGGTAGATCACTAGCAACTTGAACCCTAGGCCTGGAAAACCTGTAGGCATTCAACAATCTCAGAGCAGATATAGGAGCTTTACCCTGTAAAGACACAGGGAGCAGAGCTGTCCAAGGCATTGGGACTCTACCCCTCACACCAGTGTGTCCTGGATGTGGAACATGTAGTTAAAATAGATTGCTTTGGAACTTTAAGATTTAATGACTGCCCTACTGGGTTTCAAACTTGCATGGGGCCTGTAGTTCCTTTCTTTTGGATGATTTCTCCCTTTTGGAATGGGAATGTTTACCCAATGTATATACCCCCATCGTATATTAGAAGTAACTAACTTTTATTTATTTATTTATTTATTTTACAGGCTCATAGGTGTGAGTGAGGGACTTGCCTTGTCTCTGATAAGACCTTGAACTTTACACTTTTGAGTTAATATTGGAATAAGTTAAGATTTTGGAGGATTATTGGGAAGACATGATTGTATTTTTCAATGTGAGAAGAACATGAAATCTGGTGGGACCAGGAATGTAATTGTATAGTTTGGATATTTGTCCCCACCCCAATATCATGTTAAAATGTAATCCCCATTGTTGGAGGTAGGGCCTGGTGAGAGGTGTTTAGATTATGGGATGAATCCCTCATAAATAGCTTGAGACATCCCCTTTGTGATAAGCAAGCTCTCACTCTGAATTCACATGAGATCTGGTCGTTTAAAAGTGTGTGGCATCTCCTCCCCACTCTCTCTCTCTCTCTTGCTCCTGTTTTTGCTGTGTGAGGTGTCTGCTCCTGCTTTGCCTTCTCCCATGAGTAAAAGCTCCCTGAGGCCTCCCCAGAATGAGATGTTGGCACCGTGCTTCCTGTACAGCCTGCAGAACTGTGAGCCAATTAAACCACTTTTCTTATAAATTACCTGGTCTCAGATACTTCTTTATAGTAACACAAGAATGGCCTAATGCAATATCCTTACTTCACATTTAGAAAAATAATTCAGCCTTTAGTCTATAAATAATTTGAGTGTCGGAGTTCTTTTCCTCTCATTTATGTATTTTCATACATAGAAATGTTCTTATAAAAACAAGACTAATATTAGATTATGATGTGGGATGGAGAGTTTTTCAACTGAGATCTAATGTTCTACATTAGTTCCTTCATTTTGAGATGTCTTTGTAAATCCTCAGCCACCAACTTCACCTGCAGAATTTCGTATCATTGATTGTTATGGTTAAGTAATAGTATAAGAAATTCTTTTCCCTGAAAACTACTGAACTCATGAAAAATAGTATGGAATGAGAAATACAAATAAAGCTCAAGGTGGGGAAAGATTTTTAAATGAACATGAGCTTCTAGAGAGGTTGCAATCTGATACAAATTCTGTGAACCCCCAGAGGGAAAGAGCAATGTGGAATTACCATTAGGTTTCTGAGAATGTGGAAACTATTTTACATGCCAGGATATGTGAAGCAAAGCCGAGTTCCCAAATGTGAAACTGTCTGGCAGGCAGAGTTTTATTTTTAAAAATTTTACAACTCTTGGTTAAAACTTCAGCCATTACCTGACACTAGATGGATTTTTTTTTAATTCTATAGTAAAAACATAGATTTGTATGCATTCAAAGTTTGATAGTATCCAGAAATTTAAAGAAAAACAAATGAATTGCTAGATAACTTAGGAAAACATGTTTGCTTTGGACACACAAACAAACAATAAAAACCATTTGGGTTTAAATTTAAGTATATTGCAGTTTTCTTGCTGACTAAGGAATGGAATGGCATTCTGAGAATGGGAATGGGGTAGAAGAGGGGACAAATGCCTCAACAAAACAATAAAGTATCAGTGAACAACTGTGGCTGGAAATGTACCATCTCTTTGAATGAGTGTGCTAGTCTCCTTTTTTCTTTCCTAACAATCTGGTTTCTCCATTAAAAAAATGAAAGTACTTTCAA
Source organism: Homo sapiens (assembly GCF_000001405.40). Lineage (NCBI taxonomy): Eukaryota > Metazoa > Chordata > Mammalia > Primates > Hominidae > Homo > Homo sapiens. Next base: position 137,433,157 of record NC_000004.12, read on the forward strand.
ATGAACTGAAACATTACTCTCACGAAAACATAATCTTCAGATTTTTCCATCATCTACCAAAAATGAATGTGGAACAGTGTTTTAAGATAATATCCTGCTCATATGATCAGTTAATTTTTATGTTTAAAAAATTATGTTAATTGCAATGATACTTTTGGTAATGTTTAAGTCATTCTTATTGTCCCATAGTTGTATTCAATTTTTATTCATCATTTCTATTTTCTCTACATTAATATTTTAAATTTTAAATATACTAGTTACTAGAAATATAATTAATATTTCTTAAAATAATTATCAGGTATGGAAACTAGATCTATGCTATTAAATAACAGAAGATTGCATTGAGAAGGAAGAAAACAAGAGGCATATAATTTTAGATATGGCAGAGTTTTGATCTTGAATCTATCTTTATGTTTATGATTTTATTTTAATGTCTGTATTTGGTTTTTAGAATTCAAAGAATCACAGCTAATAAAACTGGCATAATCAAGCATTTATGCAATTAATAGCATCATACTCCCAGAAGTCACACATCACATCATCAAGAAACAGAAAGTTGCATTTTCCCCAAGTTATGGAAACTGTATGAAACAAACATAGAAAAATCTTCCCGTAGCTGCTGTATGTGGTTTCCAAGAGACTTGAAATTCTATTTCACCTTTGGAATTTTACCTGGGTCCCTTTGTATTCATATCTTCAATTCTCTCAAATGTTGATAATACTTTTAATTTTTTTTTTGCATGACCTTTTTGGTGTATTTTAGTGTTTTCTCTTCATGTCTTCATTTACTTTCAGCTCTGAAGGTTTTTAATTTATTTTTTATTAAATTATCATTTAGGAAGTTGCGCTTCATTTTAGAATCAGCCTCTGATCTGTAGACTTTGTCCTTGTGATTCACACTGTCTGGATTTTTTTTTTTTTTTGAGACAGAGTCTCGCTGTCACCCAGGCTGGAGTTCAGTGGTGCAGTCTTGGCTCACTGCAACCCCTACCTCTAAGGGTCAAGCAATTATTGTGCCTCAGCCTCCCAAGTAGCTGGGATTACAGGCATGTGCCACCATGCCTGGCTAATTTTTGTTGTTTTTAGTAAAGACGGGGTTTTGGCACATCTTAAACTTTTGGCCTCAAGTGATCCACCTGCCTAGGCCTCCCAAAGTGGGATTTAATACTTCTTTATCAACTGGCATTTGAATATATTCCTGACCATGACCACCACCCTAGTAACCTTGCTATACCTACCAGTGTTCTCCAGGTCTTGCCTTTAGGCTTTCCTTATGCCATCCTTGTTCTGACATTCAGAAATGAGACTTTCAAGTTTCACTCCAATGATATCATTAGCTAATCTCTTATCTCCAGATTAAATTTGCCATTAGATTTTCAAAAATACTTCCACAACATTCTTAAGAACTATCCATCACGAAAGATAATAACATTGCTTTTAAAATATTTTTCCTCTATTGTTGACCAATATAACTCAATTTAGAGGCTGTATGTGAATGTTAATATTCATGATTTTGGCATATGGGAATTCTACTTAGAGTTTACACAAAATTAATCAGAAATTTTAAGAGCCTCAGCAAATAATATACTGTAATTGAGACTTATATTATAGGCCTTCCAAGCTTGTGAGTAAGCAGGCCATGTTAACCTTTATCTCCAAATTGTAATGTTCTAAATGTTCCACCGCAGAGTCTTGGGAAGCCTAGTACATTACAATAAGCTTTTCCCTAAATATTTTAAGAAGCCAGGATGCGATTCCATTGTCCACAGAGCTGGCCAGTTTATGGATCATGTTTGCTGGTCCTCCATCAGGATTACAGAGTTCAGGGCTGTCCAGCCCTCCAAGATGCTGCCTTCCAATAGCATTTCATGTCTTTAACTCTTTATGTCACCACTGCAGTTACTATTGCTGTTGGAATTCCATCTCATCACGCTTCTGAACTGAGAGGAAAGTGTCATTATCTGTGATGGAAGATGGGAAAAGATCTCATTAAAAAGCACTTCAAGCTTCAGAAATTTATAGTGAGTGCTACAGGTTTTGCTCTCTCAGCTACGGTGAACTAAGATGATATTCATAGACTGGGCTTCAACAAACTCTCTCTCAGAGATAAAATCTGTCATAGAGATTTCATCATAATTAGCATCTATCTGGTCATCATTATCAGAGATCTCACTGCCATTATTACTGCTACCAATTCAGATAAAATAGGAAATCCTCTAAAATTACAATTGAGGATATAACATATGCCAGGAGTTTGCAATAAGGAGCCCACTACAGTTTCTGTCTGTCCTTCATTGCTCCACAGTGCATTCAAAGGGTTGTTTGTTAATTTTTTTCCAGTGTTTACAATTATTGTTCATGGGAGGATAGGTCAATGGAAGATATGCTGTCATTTCTGAAAGAGGATATCATGTCGTGTTTTGAATTCTCCTTTCCATTACCCTGTCAGGCACAGTCAATGGTTGTGCCATTTTCTAGTTTATTGTGGAAAAATTTCTTTAGACTTAATACTTTTATACAGATAGGAGACTTGTTTCCAAAAAATTTTATATAAAGTAGCCTCAACCTTTTTTTTTACTTTAACAATTCATTGTTATTTCTATTCAATATGTTCTTAACATGTCATTAATTTTCAAAGCTAGTTGTATTCTTCTGCTATTAAGAACTGTCCAAATGTTTGTTTTTCTTACATAATTCTTGATACATAGAGCATAAAAAAGACATACAAACAAGGGTTTGAAATGACTACTTAGAACTACAAACCTAGAGTGTTTTATATCATCTATTTCAAACTCCGTAAAATAATGTCTGTATTTCATATCATTTCCTTTTGGATATGAATGGTATAATAAATAAATAGGTAAATACCAGCAGTGCGATCTTAATTTTTCCATTTTTCAGGTTTCTCTTTCAAATATTAAATATTTTAGACTATGTCTATTATTTCTTCCTGTTTAAAATTCTGTAAGTTTATCTTTTTGTTTCTCTCCTTTTTATTTGCTTCTCTCCTGTCAAATTTTCCAGCCGATTTTTAATGCCACACTTCCTTTTTGCTTGTCTTTTTGAACTAATTCCCTCTTTATAGCTTATAAAAAGAACATAATATATACTTAAGTCATTGGGTTTTGTAGGAATTTTTAAAATTCCATTGTCTGTCCATGGGTGTGTATCACACAGATCTCCCTTCAAGAAGGCCTACGATTTCAGGAAGACTCACAACCCCCTACCAGCACACCTTCAAATTCTCCATGGGGCTCAATCTGAGGCTTCATTTCCTAGAGGCTGCTGCAAGACAATGACTGCGTGTATCAGGGGGTACTACAGATGGAACATTTCAGCCCAATATGATACTCTTTTAATGACAGACCATTCCTAAGATCTCCCCATCAACTTTGTCAAAGCAGTTCTACAACACAAACTCTTTCGAGTTCATCCTCCTTTTTCCCTTCTCTTATTTCATAGGGGACATGTCTGCTTTATGTTTTAAAGTCTTTTTTCATCATTCATGAGTCCTCTCTCCTTAACCTTCACAGGCATTTACCACAATAATTCTTATTTATGTCTAATCATATCTTGAGATCTTCTAAGATGACACGAGCAAAGTTGGTTTTGAGAGTGTTCAAGAAAATAAGTAAAAAAGATAGAGTTTAGAACTGGTTCACTTGCATCCTGGCTGGCAAGAAGAATGCAATCCTGAGTAAGCTGTGAGACACAAGTAGTTTTGTGCAAAAGTGGTGACCCAATTGCTAAATATTTCACTGGTAGTAACTTAGAGAAATGTCTATTGGAGGCAAACACCTTGCTGGTGTAATAATGTAGTCGTTTGTATAATGGGAGGAGGGGAATTGGGGAAATACTATAGGGACAGTGAACTTGACTGTTCCTTAAGTCGTATTAATACCGAACAGAGGGAAAATGTTTAAGTGATAACATAAACATAGGTATCCACAGTATGGACAGTAAAAATTAAGTTGCTTCATTTTGCATCCCCTGTCACAAAGACAGAAGCACAATGCCTGGAGAGTCTCTTAAGTTTCCAAAGGCAACACATATAGAAACAACTGGAAATACTTTTTTGGCCCATATACCAGGAGACTCAGAAGGCTATTGGGCTTGAATGGGGTTCAAAACAGGAAAGGATCTGCAGCAGCTGCTGGCTACGGTACAAGCAGCCCTCAGCTTGTATCACAGCATGGCAAACTCTGGAGTTAGAGATTTCAGTGGTGACAACATACAAGTGTAGTATTTATAGCAATACACATGAGAGAATCACAATGTAGTCTCTTGAGACTTGGGTGCAAGGCCATGTCATCTGCACTAGAAAATTATATGCTTTTCAAGAAACACCTCCTAGAATGGTATTGAACCCTGATAGAAAGAGGACACACTTGGGCAACAATTGAACATGATTCATAAATGCCCATCATGACCTATGACTCTCCCAGTTATAAATTCGACGAGGCCAGTAGTAGTTCATTATAAGGTGAAAATGGGACACAAGTTATAGCTCCAAGTAGGATGAGAGGGCATGAGTAGGTAGATAAACAGGTAGTCAGAATCCCCGTGCTACCTGCCCTGACTATATCTGTACCTATCCGACAACCTGAAGGAGGAGGAAAAAGCTGATATGGTTTGGCTCTGTGACCCCACCCAAATCTCCTCTCAAGTTATAATTCCCACATGTCAAAGGAGGGACCTGGTGGGAAGTGATTGGACCATAGGGAGGTTTCCCCCATGCTATTCTCATGACAGTGAGTGAGTTCTCACAAGATCTGATGGTTTAAAAGTGTGACACTTCCCCTTTGCTTGCTTGCTCTTCTCTCTCACCTGCCATCATGTAAGAGGTGCCTTGCTTCCCCTTCACCTTCTGCCACGATTGTAAGTTTCTCAAGGCCTCCCAGCCATACAGAACTTTGAGTCAATTAAACCTCTTTCCTTTATAAACTACCCAGTCTGGGGTAGTATCTTTATAGCAGTGTGAAAATGGACTAATACAAAAGCCCTTCTTGGTTTATTGATGGGTCATCTTGATGTGTGGAGACAAGCAAAAATGGATGGTGATTACATTGCAACTATATTCAGGGAGGGAGTTGAAAGACTGAAGAGAAGGAAAAATTCTGAGAAGCAAATCTGTAAATGAGGCTCCCATCACATTTTTTGTGGAGGCAGAAGTAGCCTTAAATGAGACTATATCCAGATTCACGTACAGTGCCAATGATCTCATCAGCTGGTCAGGGTCCTGGAAGTAAAAAATCCTCTAAGATCAGATATGAGAAAGCCTGACACAGACACAAGAGTCAGTAGATATATGAGAGTTAGCACAAAAGTGAAAAGATATTTGAATCACACATTAACATCTACCAGAATGCAACCCTCATGGAAAAGGTACTGAAAAAGCAAAGAAGAAAAATTCCTTATCCAGTAGATATTAACCAAATTTTGCCAATGTCCAACCATGGAACTGACCCAGTGGGCGCTTGAATGGAGTAGACATGTGGCAGAGGGTACACATAACCCAACCACATGTTCTCTTATGTACCAAGGCTGATTTAGTCATGGCACCTCTGAATATTCTAACTGACAGAGACTAATGTAGAGCCCTCACATGGCATCATTTCTCAAGGAAATCAACTTACTGCTTGGTGCCAATTTGACTACATTAGACCCCTTCTGTCTTGGAAAGACCAGTAATCCATCCTCACTGGGTACAGGTTTTCTATTCTGCAGAGTACGGACCCTCAGCCAGTATCACTAACTGAGGGCTGATGGAACACTTGATCTATGAGTGTGTAGAAAACCTTAGAACAGTGGCTTTCTGCTTGGGCTTCTTAGCTCTTTCTTGCCAGCTTCAAATTTCAGCAAATGCTAACAATAAAAGTAACAACAACAGCATACAGCTCACTTTTCTTGCCAGTCTTCTTTCCAGGACCTTGCACCTCAAATCCTGGCTGCCCTGGCAGCCCTGAACTCAAATTTTTGTCTCCAGAAACTTGGTACTTACTGTTTGGCTAGCTTCTCTGCTCCTTGTCTGCAGCCCTTTGCATTTTTTTTTCTTCTTACACGGAGGTAAGCATTGACAAATGCCCTAAGAAGAAAAATGGCTTCCAGAATGATAACTCTTTCTTTGTGGTTCCCTTCTCTCTCGAATCTTGGCCTCCTAGTCCTGGCTATCTCAGCAGCTTCCAGAATCTTTCATACTGAATTTGTCTGGTACTTTAACCATATGTTCTGTTTTCTTCAGTAGAGGGGCTGCAACATTATATTGCCACAAGATAAATCTTTCTAGCTGAAAGTAGGATATGTACTTTAAATAAAACCCTAAGGGCCAAATGTCAACAGTTACCACTCTACAAATTATTCATTTAGAAATTACATTTGTAATTTTTATAGTATCCCAATATCTATATCCAATTATTAGCAAATATTTCTTTGAATCAATTACTTTTTACTTCCATGAATGGAAAATCAGTATCACTTGAAATAAATGCAAAGTAACAAGAGAATAAATGTGATAATTAACACTTTTAAGCCACAATAGGTGACAGAAAATATGTTTGAAATTCTTAGTGAGTAAATATTGTATCATTATGATCTAACAATCCTCAAAAGTAGTGCTAATTAGGAAAAATTGGAGCACAAAGAGGTTAAGATACATATCTTGCTTACCTGAGGTCTCCAAGCTAGTTGAGCCAAGAATTAAACCATGATAGTCTGGCTTTCAAGAACAAAGACTTCACAGCTATAATTCATTACAACAATAAAAATATTTCAATGGTATTAAGCTTCAGTTAAATTCTATTTCCTGCTGAGAGATAATGAAAAGTGTTAGGAAAATGTTAAAATATACTAGCAACAAACTGATATTTTCTCCATAATGCATTAACGAGGACTAAAGGAAAATCAAAAAAGAAATAGTTGTGTGATTCAATGATACTTAGTGCTAAGCCTCTCTACCAGCAAACATCATCTTACACCTTGGGAAACACTGTTTAACCAATAACTTTTACTAACTAATATTACTTGATTTGTCTAAACAAATCAAGAGACTGCTATGCTGAGTACAAAAAAAAACCAGTATTGTTAAAATTCTATCAGATTCCCTCTAATACAATTTCTATTATAAGATTTCAGATAAATTTATCATCTACTAAACACTGTAGAATATTAACTTTCTCCTTTAAACATCTTCATGGTTATTTGATCAAAATGAACAAATTATCATCTTTGTGGTTTGCCAACACAGGGAAAATAAACAAAATTTTCAAGAATGTTGCTAAATGATGGTAGCAAAATGATGTAAAAAAAAAGAAGAAGAAAGAAAAAAATTTTGCACCACTCTATACTTATTAAAATGATCAAAATCCAGAACACTGACAACACCAAATGCTGGTGAGGATGTGGAGCAACAGGAACTTCCATTCATTGCTGATGGGAAGGCAAAAATGGCAAACTACTTTGGAAGACTGTTGGGTGAGTTCTTACAAAATTGAACATATTCTTACCATTGATCCAGCAATCAATCCCCTTGAAATTTATCCAAAGATAATGACACACACAAACCTGCACGCATGTTTGTAGCAGCTTTAGTTATAATTTGCCAAAGCTTGGAAGCAACCAAGATGTCCTTTAGGTGAATAGATAAACTGGGTACATCTAGACAATAGAATATCATGCAGCACTAAAAAGAAATGGATTATTAAGCCATGACAAGACATGGAGGAATCTTAAATGGATATTTCTAAGTGACCAGACTCAATCTGAAAAGACTACATAGTGTCTGCTTCCAACTATATGACATTTTGAAAAGGGCAAAATTTTAGAGTCATTAAAAAGATCAGTGATTTCTAGGGGTTGGAGGGGTGGGGGTGTAATAAATAGGTCAAACATGAAGAATTTTTAGGACAGTAAAACTAGTCTGCATAATGCTATTATGCTGGATACCTATCATTTTACATTTGTCCTAACCCACAGAATATACAACACCAAAAGTGAGACCTAGTGTGAAATACGGACTCCGGATGATAATGATATGCCAATGTAGATTCACCAATTGTAACAAATGTACCACTCTAATGGCAGATGTTGATAATGGGGAGGCTATGATTGTGTAAAGCGTGGGGGTAAGAGAAATGTGAGAAATCTCTGTGTCTTCCTCTCAATTTTGCTGTGAACCTAAAACTGCTAAGTGAAATCTATTAATAAAATATTGTTTTATATTACAGTTGAATTATCTAGGATGACTACAGTAATTGAATTAAATAATTTATCAGATTTTCCCTTAATATGTTTTTTCAAAGCCCTCATCCTCTCCAAAATATACATTGGTGTAAGATCATATAGGATGATTGCTACTAAATGCTGGTTAAGAACACCAATTAAATAATATCACTTTATGAAAAATATTAGCTGGCATATCATTAGCTTTTAATTCATTTTCAGTGACTGCAGTGATTGGAAATCACCTGGCTTGAAATATATTTCCTTAGAATCTATTATTTTCTCAACTTCTGTTAACTATTCCAAATGAGGCTTTACTCAGATATATCAAATAACTATTATTCATGCCTGTTTCTCTTTCATGTAGAAGCACTATTCAGATGCATTCAGAAAGGTTTGAGAAAATTAAAATATCATTAATGTAAATTTTGATAAAATTCTTCTTCAGTATCATATGCTGTATAGCCTTGGGGCTGATATTTTGGATCATTCAATCATTATAAAAAGAAAATGTCTGACATATAACCAATACACAAAGCTAGACCTGCTGTCAAGGAAAACCATAGTAGCATTCTTCCTGTCAGAAAAAGCCTGACTGCACACCTGTGGTCCCAACTTCTCAGGAATCTGAGGTGGGAAGATTGCTTGAGTCCTGGAGGTCAAGGTTTTAGTGAGCCATGATTGCTCCACTGCACTCTAACCTGGGTGACAGAACGAGACCCTCTCTCAGAAAACAAACATGAAATCAAAAAGCCTGAATTCATTTCCAATTCAAGTAAATATATGTCAATTTGCATCCCACGAGGATAATTTCAATTCTGAATTCTAATTCTAAGATACATAAATAGTTAGATAATAGCTGGATAGATGATATATAGATGCTTGGATAGATACAGGGCTTTGTCGGGAGTTTTATGACTAATACTTTGCTGCTTTCTTCCTTAGAAACAGTGCATTATTTGACAGAATGATGAACAAATAAAGGTCATCAAATGAAAATTATTGCTGCGAAAGTCAGAGGGTAATTATGAAAGGGACACGAGAAAAGAGACCCTGCATGACCGCCTCACCCATACAAAAGGATACATAATGACATTCAAAATCTAACAATTGTTATCCTTACAATTATCTGTGCCCATTTACCATGTGAGAAGTCTTCCTGACCCTCCCCACCAAGGGTACTTATACCCCAATTTGATGATCATTGCTATAAAAATATTTTGTATGATTTGTTTATACTTAAACTCTTTTGAGTGGTTTATATAATTAATTGTTTGGAAGAAAATATTAAATACCACATTGTATGATCAGATTTCTTTTTCACTTAAAGTTCAATTACCCCAAAGATGTCATTAAAATTTAGTACAACAGGGAAGACACTTAAAGTATTTACGTGAGCTCCCTCTTCCTCAGCACACAAAGGCCTTAATTTCCATTGTCTTCTTCAGTTTCAAATACGTCTTTGGTATAGGTTCTATGATATATCAAATATACTCAGATCTGTTTATGGATTAATAGAACAAGGTATGATCTGCCATCACTCCAACTTTAATAAATGATTAATTTTATTCCATATAATAAGGCAGAGAAGAGGTAGGCATAATTTAAATGTGTTTTAAATATCACTGCACATGGCCAGCAGTATATTTTTCAAATGCACAGCAAATAACTGTTTCATACTTCTTCTTTTAAAATTCCTTAGAGAAAATATTTCCCTTAGGGTATTTAAGATATAAAAGGTCTTTCCGAAGAAGCCATTCAGTTTGACTCACAATAGGAAAAACACATTTCAGATCAACGATCTACTTGAAATAGGATTTGTGAATTGTTTCTGAAGTCTGAATAGATCTTTGGGAAAGGTTACACATAATGAGATTGAATGGTAATGAAAAAAAATGAGAGATAGGAAACTTATAAAAAGGCATAAGCAGCTGAGTCCTAGTTATTTGATGTTATAGCTAGGAGCACAATTTTTAACTATGGTCAAAACTTTCCTTGCAATAGAGAATAATAATAGCAATGTTTACAAGCCCCTCCTAATGAAGTGGAACTTTAAAGAAATTCTTTCTAGCTCTTGTTTTAACAAGGAAATTTTATAGATATTTAAGAAGTAGAAGTTAAAATAATTCCCCTAAACAGGTTTCAGGTGTATTGAACACTATTTCAATGTTGCTGACTAGTTTCAGTGTGGCTTTGAATAATTCATGTCCTAATCATTGTTTTTTTCAGACTTGGTAAAGAAGCCTGTCGTATTCCATTGCTGACTCACCTATTCCTTTTTCCTTACCACCTGACAAGTATGTTTCTAATTGAAATGCACAGTAAAGTTTGCCTGTCCAGAAAAATAAATGGAGAAAAATAGTTTATAGTTAATCTTATTTCAGTTTGACTGCTTAAAATCAAAATTAAATCCTCTTGAAGTTTGAATAAAGAAAACAGAATACAATCCGATTTGTCAAGCACCATATATTGTAGACTTATTTATAGCAAGAAATAGGTTACTATTTTCTGAAATAAATGCTTTTTATAATAGCCCAGTTTGTTTTATATCACAGATGGATGGGTGAAAGAGCAATGCATTCTATATAGAATACTAATAAAACCATATTGAGCATGCTAAAATATTAACAAAAACTCATATACCTCTTCATTATTTACAATGTAAACATTGAAAAGTTGGAAAAAAATTTGTAAAAACTCATCGCCATGTGGTACAGGCTTTGGCGTTTTCGATATTATTCATAGCTTAATGAACTGCTTCTAGTACTACACAGCTTTTTTCTGTTAACTGGATTCTCTATTACATACATAATCATCTTCACTCCCAAAACAGCGTCTTTCTTAACATGCCTATTACTCTTGGTGGCACCATCAGCCTCCCAGTCACTGGGTCTCAAATCTTGGTGTGATTTTTAACTGCTTTTTCATTTTTTTTTTTTTTTTTGCCACTCACATAATAAGAAATCAGTGCTATATATTCCACTTCTATGATTTTCTTACAGATATCCCTTCTTTTCCATTTTCACTGCTATCAGTCCAGTTTAGACTTTTATTAACTTTCACCTAGCAAATTATGGCCAAGTAAAATCAGGCCTGCCACCTGTCTTATAAATAATGTTTTATTGGTACACAGCCATGCTTGTCCATTTGCATATCATCTATGGTGCTTTTACTCTTCAACAATACAGTTGAGTAGTTGTAACAAAGACCATATGCCCACAAAGCCCAAAATGTTTACTATCTAGCCTCTCACAGAAAACATTTGTCATCCTCTGGCCTAAGATATTGTTATAAGAATTCCTACTGGTCTCGTTATCTCCGGACTCTTCTAAAGTTAATCCTCACATCAAGCTGTCTGTTGGATCTTTTTGAAACATCAATATTCATGAAAGTCATGCTCAAATCCCTCAAAGCCTCATGCTTACTCACACACTAACACATAATTCTGAGCCTAGTAAAAGCCCTACCTGTGCCCATATAAATTGATAGGGACTTTGTTTCCTGGGTATATATGGCCTTGAACTTCCCAGTTCAACTTGTGATATCCATCTTTGTGCTGTAGAAATATTGATAATGGTAATTATAAGCCCATCTGAAATAATACCTACTCTTGGAATCTTTCGCCAATACGTCCAGCCATATGCAAACCTGCATACTTTCCTCAGAAGATTTTCCTTTTGCTGTAGCCATTTATCATCCACTCTCAGTACATTGCAAGATTATTGAAGAATAAAACTTTGCCCTACTTCATCTGCTGTTAGTTCTGATTTGGTTCCTTGCATTTGTTTATTTATTTAACAGACATCTGTTTTATAACATACATCCTCAGCACTATGCTAATAAAGAAGGATGCAAAGAAAACATAGTTGCCACCCTCAAAGAGTTTACTTAAGACTTTTAAAAGCAAACAATGTAGTATAATGCCATTAGTGTAAAGGTATACCCAAAAGGAAGCTAAGACTTCTACTTAAGTCAGACTGGAAGATAAGGAAAGGAGCCTCAGTGCAGTTGGCAACTCAGTGGTCCTGGATAGGAGCTAGCCCAACTGCAACATGATTGAGGAACATTTTAAGCAAAGAGAAAGGTGCAGTGGCTCACGCCTGTAATCCCATAACTTTAGGAGGCCAAGTGGGGCAGATCACCTGAGGTCAGGTGTTCAAGGCCAGCCTGTCCAACAAGGAGAAACCCTGTCTCTGCTAAAAATACAAAAATTAACTGGGCATGGTGGGAAGTGCCTGTAGTCCCAGCTACTTGGGAGGCTGAGACATGAGAATCGCTTGAACCTGGGAGGCAGAGGTTGCAGTGAGCATTTGAGTTACTGCACTCCAGCCTGGGAGACAGAGTGAGACTGTCTCAATTTAAAAAAAAAAAAAAAAAAGGGAATGGAGATAGGATTTGTTAACTAAATATAAGGATCCATTAACTATGAGAATTTTTTAAAACATGTAGATTATAAAAAAGAAACTCAAATAGTTCACCATTTCTCACAGAACCATTAGAAGTTCTATGAGGCCATGTGTGTTCTGCTTCATTTTGCATCTCATCTGTTATCATGCTTCCCCAGTCTAATTTTCTTCCAGCAAGTCAGTCCTTTGAGCTGCTCTCACTGTGCTTTATCTGGCCTGACAGGCTTTACACTTGCAATGCCCCACCTGGAACTCTCCCTTTTCTACCTTATAAACCAGTTAACTCAATGCTCATACTTCAATCTCCTCAAGTTTCCCTTCCTCTGAAAAGTCTTTCCTGATTTCCCTGATTAAGCTAAACATTCCATTAAATGTGTTCCTGGAATTAAATACCTCTCTTTATAAGCTCTTAATATAGCCGGATTTTCATGGTTTTGGTTTTTATTTTGTTTGTTTTTTGATTGTTTAATATCTCTCTTATCACCTAGAGCAAAATCTCCAGGAATGCATGAAGTGTTACCACTGTATCCTCGGTGCAGAAAACAATTGTTCTCTGCATGTCATAGAACACATAAAAAACTGTATAATGTTTACTTAATAGAATAATTAATTACCTGTAATTAATAAATATAGGAGGACAAAGTGAAAAATATTTTAAGATTTATGACTTGGCACTGAGCACATGGTTGTATGTTTATTATGTAGGAAACACAACAGCCTAGGGCAATATGAGGGATACGATTACTTTTGTTTTTTGACATGGCATTTTTTTACATGCACGATGAATTAGAATGTTAGTCTGGAGGTTGGAAGACAAAGTCTGAGTTAGCAATAGGCATTTTGAATCTCTCATTGTAGTTAGCAAGATAACCCAAGCAGAATATATCTAATTAAATAGGAAGTTTAAGAAGGGCACCCTGAGAAATAACTGTGTAATGGAAAGGCAGTTTAGTAAGCAAGGTCTATGAAAGACTTTTTTTTTTTTGGCAGAGTCTCGCTTTGTCACCCAGGCTGGAGTGCAGTGGTACAATCTTGGCTCACTGCAACCTCCGCCTCCCAGGTTCAAGAGATTGTCCTGCCTCAGCCTTCCAAGTAGCTGGGACTACAGGCACATGCCACCATGCCTGGCTGATTTTTGTATTTTTAGTAAAGGTGGGGTTTCACCATGTTGGCCAGGCTGGTCTTGAACTCCTGACCTCAAGTGATCCACCTGCCTTGGCCTCCCAAAGTGCTGGGATTACAGGCGTGAGCTACCACACCCGGCCTATAAGAGAGATTTGATGGCACAGAGTAGTGGAAAGAAAACCAAGAAAGAGTATTTAGAAACCAGTAGGGGAACAAGTTTTGAAAAGGAGGAAACTTTACTGATGGACACTGGAGTGCTTCAAATCTAACCAAACTCACTGATGAGTTACATATTTCAAAGAACATATAGATGGAGAAAAACAAGGTTGCATTCATGAGAAGTCCATATTTCTTCCATGTCTTTAAGACTCTAGAACTTTTCCTCCAGGGAAAGTTCCTTCAGTGTAGGAATGGGAGTGTCATACAGATTTGAGAGTTGGCTAAGACACAGTGAATTTGGACTAGGAAGATCCAAGCTTTTTACCTTCTACCTGTGTGACTCAGACTATTTCTATTTTTCTGGTTCTTCATCTGTACATTGGAGATAATAATACATATTTTCCAGAGTTACTTGGTTAAGGAAAATATAAATAAAGAGATTTATTTCATTTTTTCTCTATATTATATTTTTGTAGAAGCAGTCTATTTTAATGCTAGTTTGAAGATTACAAAAGGTAAAAATATTGGCCTAACTTTTTCCTTACAATAACTTCCTGAAAACTATTCAAAGTACTTTTTAACAGAAAATGCAACAGTAGTGCATTCCACAAAAATTGCAGAGCCTTAGCAAAATCTATGTGGCAAAGTAAGAGAACTCAGAAAATTGTTTTATAAATCTCTCCACCTGCAATAATACAAACAAATATTATAAACAGAATCCACGTTCAAATTAAACTCTAGATATTTAATTACCCATAGACATCCTATAATGGGTGAACAATTGTCATCATGTAGCCCTATGTAAGTCACTCTTAATATTGTTCATAAACAGGTTGGCAATATAAAATAAAATAAGACCCAAATTCAAGAGTGGATGATAATTCTATTAGCATTAAAGTATTTCTACGGTAAGGTGTTTTATCCACTTCAGAATCATCCGAAACACAATGTGCTCTTAATGAATAAATAATTTCTAGAAAGTTTAAAAGTCTCTCTTTCGCTCAGGCCCTTGGCACTGGCAGGATGGGCAAGTGTCGTGTACTTCGTAATGCTAGGAAGCTCCATAGTCACCGAAAAGACCAGAAGTGGCGTGATAAACACCAAGAAAGCCCATTTAGGCACAGCCCCGAAGGCCAACCCTTTTGGAGGTGCTTCTCCTGCAAAAGGAATGATGCTGGAAAAAGTAGGAGTTGAAGCCAAACAGCCAAATTCTACCACTAGGAAGAGTGTCAGGGTCCAGTGCATCAAGAATGGTAAGAAAATCAGAGCCTTTGTACCCAATGATGGTGAGGAAAACGATGAAGCTCCGGTTGCTGGATTTGGTCAAAAAAGTCATGCTGTTGGTGACATTCCTGGAGTCTGCTTTAAGGTTGTCAAAGTAGCCAATGTCTCTCTTTTGGCCCTATACAAAGGCAAGAAGGAAAGACCAAGATCATAAATTTTAATGGTGAAAACACCATAGTGATAAATTTTCATTTGAAAAAAAAAAAAAAGGATAAAAAAATGGTTCTGCTCCAAATAAGTTTTTTGTCAACACAGCATTTAGGGAGTCAGTTCTTACTCAGTTGGTATGATGTGCTATCCAAGGACTAATTTAAAGAGCTTAATCAAATGGTCATTGTCGAAATGATATGGAATATGAGATAAATATGTTATCAGAAGATCTATCTTGTCTTTTTCTTAAAACTAAATTTTCCATTAGAATGTTATATGTTCCCATATTTTATTTTATTCTAGTATTTAGTTAGTTGCATACATAACATTATCTGAAATCCTTTCTTTATATATGGTATATAATAATTATTTACAAACATATGTTAAACTGGTTAAGGTCAGGTATAAAAATTTGTCAAAAGCTTGAAATTGTTCTTTTCACACTGTATTTCTATCACAATAAGTGAAATGATAAGGTTTTTTAATTAAACATTAAATTATCTAGACAAAAGGTATATTAAAAATATTTAAAGTGTCTTAAATTTTAGTTCCAAGCTTTGATAAAATTCAAGTAATTCCTAAATACCTTTTTGCTATTCTAATTCAAGGCCCAATGTTATACCTACTAATAAAAATATAAATTTGAGTTTATAGTAATTTTAATATGTATTTATATATCAAATAAAGATACAAGTGTTATTTTAATCGAGATATTATTTTATTCAAGTTATATCTTTAATCTCTATAAACTCTATAGGAGAAAATACAAAAAAAATTTTTCACCAATATCAGAAACAGTTTATAAAAGATAATTTACTTTTTGAAGGTAGTAAACCTGGGGTATCTTTTCATGAAATAACAGAGTGACGATTTCTCTATGTAATATGATTAATATTATTAGCCAAAATAGATGAGTCAGAACTTTATCCTATTGTCACTGTTTTATTGTTCACACTAACTAGAATATTCATTTCTATCTTATCAGTGGATCATTTGCAAGAAATGAAAATACTTTAAAGAAGTCTATATAATTTAATATATTTACTTGATATTTTTTACCTATTAAATATGTGTAAAAGGAAATGTACTAAGATCATAAAATTAAGGAAAGATAAGAATGGAATTATTAAAAATGCTTATAGTCATTTTGATTTCAGAGCATGTGGCTAAAATAATCTAAATTTCAGTGTTTTGAGGAATCATACATTGATTAAGCTTTTGGAAGGTTTACCTTAGGGGAGTTTAATGGAAAGACACAATGGGGAAAGAGTCATGTTTAAAATCAAACATTCCTTTGACTAGAGGGTGAATGTTGTCAAAAGTAATGAAAGCTGGCCAGATTTTATGTATGAGGCAGTTTTCATCCACACAAACCAAAAAGAAGAGGCAAATATATATATATATATAATATATATATATCACATAGATGATATATATGTGATATATATATGATATTCAATTCAATATATTCTATATATATGATATTCAAAATTACTTTATTTGGATTTGAAATTAAGGTCACTTTAGTGTTCCATGCTGCAAGTGCTAAATAACTGCATAGCAACAGAATAGTCTTTGGAATTTTTCAATATTTCCAATACAGACATTAGCAAAATATCAGATGTCATCATCTTTAAACAAGACATGAAATAAACAAGTTAAGGACCTTCAACATGATGGCTAATAGCTATATGTGAGTTCTAAACCAAACAAACAGGTTCCTAAGGATCCTAAAGAGACTTACGTCACAGTCTGACAAATTATTGTTATATTGAAAAACATTAAGAACACATTCTCTCCAAAATAAAGTTTCCATTTAGGCACAATCAGCAGGGCTTAATTAGAAAACATGAATAATTGAACATGCTGCTGATGTCTTTGAGCAACAAACCTAAGAGTCACGTAGAAGCAAATTTTTATTAGACAAAAGGGCATGTTGTACTGAATCATTCTCCAATGTTTTCCTGTATCTGATGGCAACATTTTCAGTGATAATTCAAATGAATACCCTCCGAGCAAATACTATAAATATGTCTTCAGTTAAAATAGGAAAAAAAATCAAATAAATAAAACAAACAAAAACTCTTGCAATCTCTACACAAAGCCATGTTTCTAGAAATATAATAGAGAAAGAGGGAGAGGGAAAAGGTATAGATTAGAAATGCCTTAGTATATTGCAGTCTTCATAGAATTAATCA
This sequence comes from Homo sapiens, assembly GCF_000001405.40. Taxonomy (NCBI): domain Eukaryota; kingdom Metazoa; phylum Chordata; class Mammalia; order Primates; family Hominidae; genus Homo; species Homo sapiens. The sequence goes on from NC_000004.12 coordinate 137,450,696, forward strand.
GTCTGGCAATGGTATTAAAAGCCAAGCTTACAAATACTCTCTACTGAAGCACAGTTTGAATTTATGTACCGGTTTCTCACTGTATGTAAGTCCCTCCCTAGTCGTGTGCTAAGAGAGCATATGCTAAATGCTGACCTAAAATCCTCAGTGGCTATTCCAGGTTCAGTGTGTTTACTTGAGGTTATTAAAAATATATCTGTTAGTAAGCAGTGTTTAAATTACCTAAAACAGTTTGGGCACACATAAACAAAATCCAAATAGCCAAAAACAAAATAAAATTAAACACAAAAGCAAAAGTGTTGAAATAAAAAGCCAACTCTGTAAAATACTTAAAGAGGTTTATTCTGAGCCAAATATGAGTACTCATGGCCTGGGGTACAGTCTCAAGAGGTCCTGAGAACATGTGCCCAAGGTGGCCAGGCTAAAACTTGGTTTTGTATATTTTTAGGGAGACAGAAGTTGTAGGCAAAGGTATAAAACATATAAGGTATTCATTGGTTTGGCTTGGAAAGGTGAAGCATCTTGAAGCAGAGAGGTGGTAGAGGGAGTGCTTACAGGTCTTAGGTGGATTTCAGAGATTTTCTGATTGTCTTGAAAGAGTTAAGCTTTGCCTAAAGTTGAAGTCACCAGAAAGAAATGCTTGAGTTAACGGGAGTTGTCGAAGCCAAGTTTCTTGTTATGTAGATGAAGCCTCTAAGTAGTAGCCTTCAGAGACAGTAGATGGTAAATGTCTCTTTTCAGACCTTAAAACCTGTCAGATTTTTAAGGTCTGAATCCAGAAAAGACTTAAAAAGGGAAGGAGATTCTCCACAGAATGCAAATTGCCCCAACAAGAGACATCTTGTCAGGCCCCTTTTAAAATATGTCAATTAAATACATTTTGGGGTAAAATGCCTTGACTTCCTTCAGGGTCATGTGATACTATACCAGTGTCAGGTTGGAATTTGGTACTTCATTGCTATAGAGTCTGTTTTGTCAGTTTTATGTTCTCTATTTTAATGTTAATCCTGGTCAGTTGTGCAGAAACCCCAAAGGGCGGGGGCTTAATGAGGCTTGTCTGACTCCCATTTCCTGCTATGGCCTGAACTAGTTTTTCAGTTTTTGGGGGATCCCCTTTGGCAAGAGAAAGGAGTCCCTTCAGTCAGTTGGGGGATTATCATTTTATTTTTGGTTTATCTAGTTACTGATTTTCCTGGAGCCATGCCCAACACTATTTCTATGTCTTTCGTTTTTGTTATCTTTGGTATTATGGTCCATGTATCATTTTCTTGGATTCCCTGTTTGTTCAGGATAACTAACCAAAGGGGTCTCACCTCTTTCTGTTTTATTATTTTATCTACTGTAAAGAGGAATTGCAACATTGTCTGTAAAAGCTGCAGCTCCTGCTCCTGCTCTTGCTGACTTTGCAAAGTCTTCCTTGCCCTCTATATAACCTTCCATTATATTGCTCTCTGCTTTTCTCAATTTGCTTCTCTGTCCATATATTGCGCTATGCCTCAGGACTTCCAGACCTGAAGGAGACATCAGAGTACACCTTAAAAACCCTGAACTAAGTGAGATTGTGACCGCCCAATGGGTTCACCTTGCCCACTGCCTAGACAAAGCTGATTTATCAAGACAGGGGAATTGCAATAGAGAAAGAGTAAATCACTCAGAGCCGGTTGTGCAGGAGACCAGAGTTTTATTATTACTCAAATCAGTCTCCCTGAGCATTCGGGGATCAGAGTTTTTAGGGACAACTTGGTGGGTAGGGGGATGCCAGTGAGCCAAAAGTGCTGATTGGTTAGGTAGGAGATGAAATCATGGGAAGTTGAAGCTGTCCTCTTGTGTTGAGTCAGTTCCTAAGTGGGGGCTGCAAGATCAGATGATCTAGTTTATCCATCTAGATGGTTCCAGCTGATCCATCAAGTGCAGAGTCTGCAAAATATCTCAAGCACTGATCTTAGGAGCAGTTTAGAGAGGGCCAGATTCTTGTAGCCTCCATATGCATGACTCCTAAACCGTAATTTCTAAACTTGTGGCTATTTTGTTAGTCCTACAAAGGCAGTCTGCCCTCCAGGTAAGAAGGAGGTTTGTTCTGGGAAAGGGCTGTTATCAGCTTTGTTTTAAACTATAAACTAAGTTCCTCCCAAAGTTAGTTCAGCCTACGCCCAGGAAGGAACAAGGACAGCTTAAAGATTAGAACCAAGATGGAGTCAGTAAGGTTAGATCTCTTTCACTGTCTCAGTCATAATTTTGCAAAGGCAGTTTCAAGATCACTGAGCAGTTTTTTCTTACTGGCAATGGCAGCCATGACCTGTGCCCATTGCAGTGATACCAATACATGCTGACTAATTCCTCCATGTTTGCTTTCTTGGGTCTTCCAGTCCTTCCACTTGCTTCTCTCAGCTCTCTCAAAACAGACAACTCAATGTTTCCATTTGAAATAACTTTCCAGGAGCTTCTGTTTAGAAGACAGTTCCTCAGTTAAGCCTCAGAGGTCTACTCTGTTTCTCTACAACATAGTCTCCAAATTCCAGGATTCCAGCAGACGCATTTCCACAGAGTTACTGCCCAGAAAGACCTTGAGACATATTTTAATTGTCATCCAGGATATTCAAACCACACACAATAAATTCCTCACCCAACTCCCATTTACTTGTCGCTGTCCTTAAACATTTTATGAATAAAATTTTTATTTTATTTATTTATTTATTTATTTTTGAAACAGAGTTTCTCTCTTGTTGCCCAGGCTGGAGTGCAATGGCACAACCTTGGCCCACTGCAACCTCCGCCTCCGGGGTTCAAGCGATTCTCCTGCCTCAGCCTCCCAAGTAGCTGGGATTGCAGGCATGCACCACCACGCCCCATTAATTTTATATTTTTAGTAGAGACGGGGTTTCCCCATGTTGGTCAGCCTGGTCTCGAAATCCTGACCTCAGGTGATCCGCCCACCTCAGCCCCCCAAAGTTCTGGGATTACAGGCATGAGCCACGGTGCTCAGCCTGTATAAAATTTTTAAAGGGATGACCCAAAATACCTCAATTTGAAGAGGCAGTATAGTGCAATAGTTCAAAATTCATATTCTGTGACCAGACTGCCCGAGATTCTAGTCTTAAGGCCACTGCCTCCCTACCGAAAGGACCTTCAGTGTTTCATTTTATCTCTCTGTGCCTCCATGTTTTCACCTGTAAATGGGGTAATATTTATCTTGAGCTTTTTGGAAATAAATGTGCTAATTATGTAGAGTGCTTAGAAAAATGTTGCCATTAAAACTGCCTTTGCAAATATTGTAACTGAGGCAATTATTACAGTGAAAGAGATCTGACCTAACTGACTCCATCTTGCTTCTAACCTCCAAGCTGCCCTTGTTCATTCCTGAGCGTAGGCTGAAGTAATTTTGGGAGGAACTTAGTTTATGGTTTAGCTTTTAAAACAAAGACGTTAACACCCCTTTCCCAAAACAAACCCCATTCCTGCCTAGGGTCTAGATTGCCTTTGCAGGAGTAACAAATGAGTCACGAGATCAGAAATTATGGTTGAGGAGTCATGCAGCTGGAGGGTGCAAGATTCTATACCTCCCCAAATTGCTCCTGGGGATACCATCACTATTTTAAAACATAAGATGAGATCCTGAGATATTTTGCAGACCCTGCACTTGATGGATTAACTGGCTCATCTGACCTTGTGGACCCCACCAAAAAACTGACTTAGTGCGAGGACAACTTCGACTCCCTGTGATTTCATCTCTGACCTGACCAATCAAAACTCCCAATTCACTGGCCTTCCCCCTACCAACAAAATTATCCTTAAAAACTCCGATCCCCAAATGCTCAGAGAGACTGATTTGAGTAGTAATAAAACTCCGGTCTCCCACACAGCCTGTTCTGCATAAATTACTCTTTCTCAATTGCAATTCCCCCATCTTAATAAATCAGTAATAAGCAACATATCAATTGTTAGCTATCAATGTTATTATTATTACTATTATTACTAGTATTGTAACTAAACATAGGCTCAACTGCTTGCTGCTTGCAAAGCCAATAACAGGGATGAGTTAGTGAAAGGAAATTGACTTTATTCCAGAGCTAGCAGTGAGGAAATGGTCAAGGCTAGTACCTTAAGGAAACCATTTCAAACTTTAGGCTGGGACAAGGGGCTTACAAAGGGAACTTGGAATGGGAGGCATGTGGAAATAGTCCTGAATACAAGGTCTGTGTCTTCTGTTCTGGTGGCTTTCTTGAGTTGTGCTCCACCTGGAGTGCAGGCTGGCATTATCTCAACCATGGCCAGGTTGTTAACTAACCACTTTGAGGTAATCTCTGGAATTTTGCAGTTGGGTCTCCCTGCCTGGTCTGTCTCATGATTAGCCCCTGGAACTTCTAAGTAAGCACATAGTTAAGTGTGCATGGTGTAAGTTTAACAAGCATACAGTTACATAAATGTGCATGGTGTAAGGGGGTTGTATGATGGAAAAAGGAGGAAATAAAGGGTTTTCAGGTACTTTTCAAGGCTACATTCTCAGATTAAGAAGGGAAAAAAGCTCTAAAATGCATTTCTAGGCTGGTATACACAGTTACAGTATTAGTGAGAGAAAGCCAGATGTTTGTCTTTTATTTTCTACTAATTCAATGAACAATTTTACAAAATTATAAACTTTTTGCAGCTTATTTTACTTTTAAGGAAAGAATTGCCAGTTAATATACAAGACCTTTCCTAACACTAAAAATATGAATTTCAAACTGAAGCAAAGCTGTTCTTAAAATATTTAAAATGAAGTGTATTTAAGACTACTTTATTTTTACATTACATATTATTATAAGACAACCTCTTAGATACTATAGAATAATACATTAAAATTTTTATTACCTATATATTTTATAATGTGATTTCATTTTAAAACAAAATTATGTTAATAGGTTTTTCCCACATTATTTTTTTCTGACATTATAATTGATATATGCATTTTTTTACCTTGAATCACTATTTACAATTATTCCTAGAAAGAAAAAAATGTCAAAATGTGTCGTTTCTTTCTCTATAATGATATTCTGTGTGAATAGATGCATCTGAGATTTTTTCTCATTTCAATTCATTTCACATGTAATATTACATAGCCTGGAGTATAAACAAAAACTAAAAATAAAAACACATATTTCTTAGCTTGTAACAGCTATGATACACTTCCTGTAAAGAAGAAATAACCTAACCAAAATAGCAGTTTCAGAAAACACCTCTTCAAAGAGAAATTGTTTAGAAAAGGTATGATCTTAAAAGAAGAGCTGAGATGTTAAATAGTTAAGTTTTTACCTAAAAAATCAAACACCTATAAAACATCAATATTTCTAATAATCATTAATCTTTGGCTTACAAGTACCTGGGGCGGGAAGCTTGTTACTTAACAAGGCATCACATTCCTTTGCATTTCTGAAACACTCAAATTGAGTCACAAGTCGCCTCCATGTCATTTCCCTTCAGAAGTCCCGCCTCTACCCTCTATTTTGTAAGAAATAAATGCACTATCTTAAGATATTTCTTATGACATGATTCTTAGCTTTTAACTATCCTAATTGTTCTTCCCTAGTCATTCGTCTTTGACAGTTTTCCTCTGAAAATCTCAGGCAATTTCACAGTCATTTCTTGTTTCCTTTCTAACATGAAATACACAAATGTAAACTTAATGAAGCACACAGTTGAAAATCAGAGGACTGCATTTTTTTTTCCTTTTGTACAACAACTTTTATTCTGCTTCTTCAACAAACATCTTAGAACATAGTAGCAACAAAAACATACATTTAGTCCAAAAATTAGAATGACCTATTTCAGGTCAATTAAATTTAAATGGCTGCCATCAATCCCTTTGCTTTGCATTTTATCATCAAGCATTATGTTACTGATTTTAATGTCCAGTTAGCTACTTATCTATTTTTATTTGTTGCCAAAATTAATTTCTTGGGTTTCTATTATGCGGTAAATCTATTCTATAAAGAGCTGAGAAAGTGTTATGCCTTAATTGTAAAATTAGGAGATAAAAAATCAACTTGTTTAAACATATTGCCAAACTCACCAATAAGTATGAAACATGAAATAAAGTTCTGTCATCCAATTTGTGAGAAATCAAACACATATATTCTCAAAGATAATTAGAAACCAACTTCTCTCCACAGTTTACCTCTGAATGAATAGGCACATACCTGGTGTTTTTATTAATTCCACCCCCAACCCCCACATATAGATGAAAATTCTACCATGCTGCCCCAGCTGTAAAGGAGTCACCTGCAATCCTGAGTGAGACATTCTTTGTGATGACTTCTTCCAAATATTGTAGTTATACAATTGTAGTTATACAATCTACAGGAATAGATATTTGGAAGAAGTCATCACAAAGAATGTCTCACTCAGGATTGCAGGTGACTCCTTTACAGCTGGGTCAGCATGGTAGAATTTTCATCTATATGTCGGGGTTGGGGGTGGAAATTGAAGAATGATGATAAATAAGAATAAAAGAAAAATGGAAACATACTTTTCTGGAATTTAAAATAACTCATGATCTAGCCAAGTTTGTTTTTACAAATATTAAATGAAATTCCAAAAATCTATAAATACAAAATTGCTGTTAGCAATACAGCCGGTAGGAAGGTGAGGAAACAGGGCATGCTCTGTTTGAATAAAGTTAATATAAGTGAATAATAAATTATGGGAAGAGAAATAGGCACTCTAGTAACTTTGCTTCTTGAAGAACATGTTTTATGCATTTATGAAAATTCTCCCATAAATTAAGTAATGCATTAAAGAATGCAAGAAAAGGTAAACATTTTATTCAAACCAGTTGTGTTTCATTTCCCAGTTTTATTATATACCATGGAAAAGTGATTTTAAATTCCTAACTAAACCCTGACTTGCATCAGAAAATAATCTTCAATTCCACTTTTAAATTTACTTTTAAAAAGGAAAATGTGTATTTTACTGAAATCTTATATTAATAAGATAACTTTGCTTTTTATATAACACTTTGGCCAGAAATCCTGAGTTTTACTCTATGTACTTGCTTACGTTTATCTGATGCATCTTAACAATAAATCTGTGACAATTTAGGCAATGCTGGTAAAGAATATCTTTAGTTAAACCAAACCAAAGCTGTGCTAAAGGTTGTAACATCATGTGCTGGCAGTTCCAAGTGAATTAGGCAAACTCTAATTTTACTAATTCAAAGATTATTAGGTATGTACTTGAGGTAACTGTCACATGCAACTTGAAGATAATCCCAAGATTTAGTCTGGGACTTTTGTTACTGGAAAGGTGTCCCCATCCAGACCCTAAAAGAAGGTTCTTGGATCTTTCCCAAGAAAGAATTCAAGGCAGGTCCATAGAATAAAGTGAAGGCAAGTTTGTTAGAAAAGTAAAGCAATAAAAGAATCGCTACCCCATGGACAGAGCAGCCCCATGGGCTGCTGATTGCCCATTTTTATGGTTATTTCTTGATTACACGCTAAACAAGGGGTGGATTATTCATGCCTCCCTTTTTAGATCATATAGGGTAACTTCCTAACATTGCCATGGCATTTGTAAACTGTCAGGTGCTGGTGGGAGTGTAGCAGTGAGGATGACCAGAGGTCACTCTCATCACCATCTTTGTTTTGCTGGGTTTTGGCCGGCTTCTTCCCATGCAACATGTTTTATCAGCAAGGTCTTTATTACCTGTATCTTGTGCTGACCTCCTATCTCATCCTGTAACTTAGAATGTCTTAACCTCCTGGCAATGCAGCCCAGCAGGTCTTAGCCTCATTTTACCCAGCCCCTATTCAAGATGGAGTTGCTCTGGTTCAAACAGATCTGACACTTTCATGAGACCTGGGAGAGAAACTGATTCTAGTTAATGTCTGAACACTTAGAAAGGGATACATAATTTAACTGCACAGCTTAGAATTAGAGTCTGAAGCTCTTATTCTTACTCTAGGAAGGCACAAATGACTCAACAAATAAATCAATATTTTAAAACTTACACTGAATTTGGGTATTAAATTGATAATTTTTACTAGTTATTGGCCATATAGTATCAATCTGGCTGAGTCTGATGACACTAAATTTGGTAATTTCAAAGGGAGTGCAATGTGGCTTTTGCTATTGTTATTTATTTATTTTTTGAGACAGGGTTTCATTCTTGTTGCCCAGGCTGGAGTGCAATGGCACGATCTCGGCTCACCGCAACTTCTGCCTCCCGAGTTCAAGCAATTCTCCTGCCTCAGCCTCCCAAGTAGCTGGGATTACAGGCATGTGCCACCACGCCCAGCTAATTTTGTGTTTTTAGTAGAGACGAGGTTTCCCCATGTTGTTCAGGCTGGTATCAAACTCCTGACCTCAAGTGATCTGCCTGCCTCGGCCTCCCAAAGTGCTGGGATTACAGGCGTGAGCCACCGCGCCAGGCCTGCTATTGTTATTTAATGATGATTTGCTTTTTGAAAGGATCATTGAAGGTTGTCCTCATGTTCTATAAATACTACCCAGGGATATGTCTCACCAATTATTGATACTCTCTGAGCATCTTGCGAATGTGCAGTTTGAAATTTTTATACTTATCTCTGCATTAAGTCAGTAGAATTTTGTACAGGCTATTCTCTAACTCCTTGAGATATGGCCATTAATGTGTAACAAATATGTAGTGGTAAGACTACCACTAATTACCCACTCTAGGGAATTTATCCAAAGAAAATAATTCAACAGAGGAAAATTTCATTTACAAACATTAATTGCAGTATTATTTATAATTGCAAACCATTACAAATATCCTAAATGTCCAACAGATAAATATTTTTATATCTATACAGATGAATGTTTTGTAGGCATAAGCTTGTATTTATGAAGATAATTTGATGATAAATATGAAGATATTTATAAAATCATGTGAACTGATAAAAGCACAATGTGGTCTTAATAATATAAGAAATATACAAACATTTTAAATTTGTTAGAAGGACAAATGGACTTAGTCTGGATAGGTTTTCTAATTGTAAATTGATTTTTTTCTTTAAAAATGCTCTGTACCAATGTTATACAGTTGCATAAAATAAAGTCAGTCTAATCATCTGGTTTACGATACTACAGAAATAGCAGAATACTACCTCTATCAGATAACTGCCCATGTTTTTGGAGCATGTCTAGTTAAAATGATAGGATCATATTTGAGTTTATTCTCTCCTGGGTAAGTATTGCACAGTAAAGACAAAGAGATGAGATCTATGGCAATTTATACAGGTAAAAGAATCTAAGATACATGAATGATAACATTCTATTCAAAACTGAGTCAGAAGTGCTTGGGTAAGATAATATTGACTGCTATTATTGAGCCTGCATCTGTCCTTCACTGTGCCTTATATTTATTATGTCACCTAATTGCCACAATTATGTTATGTGATTGCTATTCTTATGAGCTCTATATTATCGATGAGGAAACCAATTCGTAAAGAAATTGACTTGCCTGAATTGCAGAGCAAGTAAATGTCCTAACCATATTTAAAGCCAGTTCTGTGTAGCCCCAGACCCTTTGACTTTAGCCACTATACAGTAGTAGTTATAGCATGAGCTTTGATTTCAGGTTCAAGTTAATCTTGATGAGCATAGGCATGCTTTTTCATTCCTGCCAACTTCAGATTTCTCTTGGTAAAATGAAATAATTGGAACACCTTTTTCCAAAGAAGTGTTCTGAGGCTTAGCAATATAAAACTTGTCATTTCATCCGTTCATTCAGCCAAAATTCATCAAACAGCAACTTTGTACCAATTCTTCAACTGTAGCTAGGAGATACTATGATGACTCAAAGAAGAGATAAAGACTTAATCAAAATACTTATGCAAATTAATGCATAATTGCCAAGTGTGTGAAGTATTATGAAAGAAAAATAAGTGGGGGAGATGTCTTTAATACTTCAGGGATTGGATAAGTCTTCCCTGCGGAAATGCTACATCATCTGAGATCTGAAAGATAAGTAGAAATTTCTTTTTTTGTTGTTGTTGTTTTTTTTGAGACAGAGTTTCGCTCTTGTTGCCCAGGCTGGAGTGCAATTGTGTGATCTTGGCTCACTGCAACCTTCACCTCCTGGGTTCAAGAAATTCTCCTGCCTCAGCCTCCCGAGTAGCTGAGATTACAGGAGTGTGCCACCACGCCCAGCTAATTTTTGTATTTTTAGTAGAGACGGGGTTTCACCATGTTGATCAGGCTGGTCTCGAACTTCCGACCTCAGGTGATCTGCCTGCCTCAGCCTCCGAAAGCTGGGATTACAGGCATGAGCCACCATGCACGGCCGATAAGTAGAATTTTTTTTTTTTTTTGGAGATGGAGTTTTGCTCTGTCACCCAGACTGGAGGGCAGTGGTGCAATCTCGGCTCACTGCAACCCCTGTCTCCTGGGTTCAAGCGATTCTCCTGCCTCAGCCACCCGAGTAGCTGAGATTAGAGGCGCTCGCCACCATCGCTGGCTAATTTTTGTATTTTTTTTTTAATAGAGACAGGGTTTCACCATGTTGGCCAGGCTGGTCTCGAACTCTTGACCTTGTGATCCGCCCGCCTCAGCCTCCCAAAGTGCTGGGAGTACAGGCGTGAGTCACCACGCCCGGCTGAAAATTCTTAAACAGACAGCATGTGAGCTTCTCTGGCAGAGCACTGCATGCGTAAAGACCCTGAAGCAGGAGGATGTGTGTTTGTCGAATCAAAATTAGGCAAGTAAATGACCTTCTGTTTCTAAAGCAAAAGAGCAGCATAAAATGATGCCAGAGAGAGGAGCATGGGCCACAAAATGAAGAGCCCTTTCGACCATTTAAATGATGTTGATTTTTTTTTTCTTTCCTTAGAGGAATGTAAGTCATTTAAGGTTTTTGACTAAAGCAAGAACCTAATCAGATTTGAGTTTGAAAAGAATGGAGAAACAGTGAGGGATGATAGAAGTGGGGAGATAAATTAGCAAATGCCGTGTGGGGGCGGGGCGGTGGATACAAGTAGACTAGACTAAAGCCAGACTCTGAGGATTTCAAACATTTAATCATTGAAGCCAGCTGAGCAACTTCATAATGAAACCACCTTTGCAAAAGTTATATCTGCGAGAAAATTTTAACAACAAGCTAACCTAACCCACCCCCCATCTTGCCTTTCCCTAAATTATTCCTGGGCTATTGGATCAAGCTAACTTTAAAAGACATTTAGGCTACAGTTTAAATGATAATTGTCTTTCCCAAAACTCAGCAGCTTTTGTAAAGCTAACAGGAGGCCTCCAGGCTACGGGGAGAGGAGTGTGAGTCCTGCTAAGATGCGGACATTATTCCGGAGGTTGTAAGACACGCAACTTTCCCCAATTCCTCTTGCAAAATAACACCAGTATTGTAGACTGGCCTGTTAAGATAGCTTGTCAGGTTTCTTTGCATGTCTGACACACATGGCTCCACCTGGACCCGATGACTCCACCTGAACCGACAACCCCTCTCCTGTGGCCCCACCCAGAAGCAATTCAGCCAGCAAGGGTTTCAACCCCGCTATGATTTCATCTCTGCCCCAAACAATCAGCAGCAAGCACCTGTTAACTGACCACCCCTACCCCTTCCCCCAAGCTGCCTTTGAAAAGCCCCTAACCTAAGAGCTTTGAAGGAGATGATTCGAGTACGAACTCCATCTCCCACATGGCATGGCTGGCCTCCTGTCTATTAAACTCTTTCTCTACTACAATGCCATGGTCTTTCTTTATGCAGTGGGCAGGAAGGAACTCTTGGGCAGTTACAACGAAGAGCAGCTAGAGAGACAAGGGAAAACCAAGGCTGGACAGTGTAAGAGAAACCAAGGGCTTCAATTCTGAAGGTGTAATGAATTATAATGGAAAATAACTTTGTTTTTATTGTCCCCACGGATTTATGTTCTGGTTCTGCTTCTGATCTGATTTTGTCTGTTCCACTTTTACGTTTTCCTTTTCAAGTAACAATTATTACCATTAAACTTTGGAGTAATTTCCAAGGATATACTTTTTATAATTTTAATTTATTTTATGTTATTTTATTTTTTGAGACAGGATCTCACCTGATCACCCAGGCTGGAGTGCAGTGGAGCAATCATAGCTCACTGGAGCCTTGAATTCCTGGGATCAAGTGATCCTTCTGCCTCAGCCTCCCGAGTAGTTGGGACTACAGGGATGTGCCACCACACTTGGTTAATTATTTTATTTTTAGTGAAGGTGAGTTATTGCTATGTTGCCCAGGCTTGTCTTGAACTCCTGGCCTCAAACAATCCTTTTGCCTCAGCCTCCCAAATCACTCGGATTACAGGCATGAGCCACCACATCTGGCTTCCTTTTTTATAATGTACAACCCTTACTAGAAATGATGAAAACAGAAGACATTTAGTATCAACATGGAAAACAAAACCAAATCCATTTCTACTGAGTTTGGATTTTTCCTGTGTTTTGACAGTTAGAAAAAGTCTAAGGTTATTATTTTCAAGGATGACCAGATGTTTACTCCTTATAAATGTGACTTTAAAACTCAGTATGTGAAATAAGAAAATAGACGTGTACCTCTGGAATTTTAGGTGAAGTTTAGTAAACTGAACAAAGTGAATTAGCTCACTTATTTTTTGAATTGCCTCCCAGATAATTGTATAGCTTATGAATAAAATATGTAGTCCTATTTTCAGATGCACTCGAACCAGAGCAACTTCATCTTGAGTGAGGGTTAGGAAAAAAATGAGTCAGGGACTTGCTGGGCTGGATTCTCAAAGATAGGTATTCCTAATGAGAGAGGAGAGAGGAAGGAACCAGTTAGGCAGATAGTTAGGACAAGGCCCCTGATAGAAGTCTTTCCAACAAAAGAGCAGCCTGGAAGCAATCAAGCTGCAAGCGCAGATAAGGAAGCAAGGTCCAATGCCTTTGTCTCTTGTGCAACCAGTGAAATCTGCCTATACATGGTGGGCTTCAGTGAGCACTTTCCTCTCCTTTTTGGGCATACTCAGATAAGGGAACTTGTACAGAGGGGCTTGCCTAAGACAGACCTGCAGCCATATAGATAAGAAAAATTACACAGAACCAAACACACCTGCAGTGGAATATTCCATCTCCTTACACATACACAGTAAGGGAAATAAAACAACATGGAGTAACTCAGGCTAAGGACCCAAATGTGCACTAGAAGGATGGAATGGAGCTAACAAGAATTCATCCATTATGCAAATAAGACATCCAGCCCTAACTGGTTTTTTGTGCCTCATGTAAATGAAACCCTCTGCCCCTGTAACTTGTTTATAAAAGCCTTTGCATTCAACTGTGAAATGGCAACTCTTTTGGGCCCCTTCTCCACTGTGGAGAGCTTTCCTCTTTAGCTTATTGAACTTTGCTCCAACCTCACCCTTGGTGGCTATGCTCCTTAATTTTCTTAGTCATGAGACAAAGAACTCCAGTAATACTTCAGACAACGAGACTCCTCCAGTGACTGTAGACTGCTTCACTAGCCTCTAGATGTTTACAATTAAGGGAACAGATTGATAACATTTACTAAACATACTCAGACTTAGGAGTGTCCTGATGTCGCTATATCTTCACAACAGAAGCATTCCTAATTTTGCTTTAAAGATAATAATATTGAGGCTGGGCGCGGTGGCTCACACCTGTAATCCCAGAACTCTGGGAGGCCAAGGTGGTCGGATCACAAGGTCAGGAGATCGAGACCATCATGGCTAACACAGTGAAACCCTGTCTCTACTAAAAAATACAAAAAATTATCCGAGCGTGGTGGCAGGCACCTGTAGTCCCAGCTACTTGGGAGGCTGAGGCAGGAGAATGGTGTGAACCTGGGAGGCAGAGCTTGCATTGAGCTGAGATTGCGCCACTGCACTCCAGCCTGGGCAAACTAGCAAGACTCCATCTCAAAAAACAATAAATAAATAAAAAAGTAAAAATAAATAAAAAGTAAAGATAATAATATTGATTCCTGCAAAATACAGTAATTAAGAAAATCCTTTACCATAAACCCTTGTAGCAGAGCATATTTCCCCATGGTCTTTTTAAATTTTTATCCTGTATATAAATAAGCATTGTACCTAGGGTGGACATGTTCCTGCTCTTACTTTTGGGAACGACCTACTCTGTCTATGGAGTAGCTGTTCTTTCACCACTTCACTGTCTTAATAAATTTGCTTTTGCTTTGCACTGTTGACTTGCCCTGAATTCTTTCTCGCATGAGTTCCAAGAACCCACTCTTGCAGTTTGGATCAGGACTCCTTTCCTGTAACGTCTTTCTGGTGACCACGAAAGGATGGTACTGAAAAAAAAAAAAAAAAACTCAACCCAAGGGAAATAGACTGAAGCACTGATTGGTAGACTTTGGGTAAATATTGAGATACCCAAATAAAAGATGGGATTGGGTTAGAGGCCCAATTTAGGGGAGTTAGAATCTCTCCTAAGACAGAGAAGGTTAAAGGCCTCTCTTAATAAAAGACAAGGATGTTTGACCGAACTTGGGTTCGAAGCCCAACTTAGAAAGGTTAGAGTAATTCCTAAGATTTAGGGGGTTAGAGGCCCCTCTCAGTAAAGTCCCTCTTGTCTAAGAATGGGTTTGGCACTATGGGATGCTAACTGCTATTCTCTTTGGGTTATTCTGCCTTGCAGTTTTTGCTGACGGGTATGGGTGACAGAATTAGGCATGTACAGGATGGTGAGACATGGGGAGCTCTTTCCTTCCTAAAAATGAAAACTGGAGAGCTAATGGAACTGCTGCAAAAGATCCCTTTGCTACTGACAAGTGGCCGCCTGAACTTTTTAGTTTTGCTGCAATGCGTGTGTCTTTCTCTGGCCTCCTTGAGCACTTTGCCCTCCTGACCCTGCCACATGCAAAGCTTTTCTCTCTCTCTTTCTCTTTTCTATCTTTTCTTTTACTGAGGGCGACCATCTTGCCCAGAGACTGCATGTTGAAACTCATGGTCAGAGGTTGCATTAACGATGATCGGGCCCAACCGGGGGCAAGTTTGAGCCTTGCCTGTTTGATATTGGGTGCTAAACAGAGTGGTTAATGTCTATGTTTTGTCACATGTAGTTTGCTCTGGACAGAATGGAAACAGATAATTTTCCTTTGTATTGTGGCTTGGCCCCCAGGGCTCTGGTGCAGTGAGCCAGGTCACTAGGGCTGCTCAGGGAAAGGCAACCCAGAAACTTGTCATGCTGGCAAAAGAATTTCTTACCAGTCAAACTTCTGGCCTCTCTCTCCCTCTGAACAAATGGTAAAAATCACTGTTTATCTCTGTAAAGTTCTGATTAATGGGAAAAAAGATTCATGAGGCTAATTTAAGCTGTGGTGGATCTGGTGAACTTTGTTTGTCTTTCTGTATTGTTCTGTCATAATGAAGGGTACCTTAGGATAG
Organism: Homo sapiens; assembly: GCF_000001405.40. NCBI lineage: Eukaryota > Metazoa > Chordata > Mammalia > Primates > Hominidae > Homo > Homo sapiens. Next base: position 137,466,055 of record NC_000004.12, read on the forward strand.
AATGCAGGCCTAGGACTCCTATAAGCCTGCTGTTCAAGATGGCCCAGCAAACTGGTCAGTCCTGTCCTTGGGAGCTTGACCTTGTAACCATGTGGCCATGCTTTCTCTTTTCACAATGGTGGCCCGGGGTCAGGGTTCAATTCCTGGCTTAGGGAATGGTCCTTTATCTTCTGCCTGTCTTTGGATTTATATGTGTTATGTGTGTGATGTTTATATATGAAAGAGCTTTAATTAATTGGTTTAAGAATAATAAGAGCTTAAATCAAATATTTTAAAAGAAAAATAAAAATTGTAATGCCTTTTAGTCCACAGGAGTTTAATAATCTTTGGGAAATAAAAACAGCTTTAAAGATTATTAAAAATGAAGACATTTGGTCTAAATTAGGTAGGTCAGATGTTAAGTTTGTTAAATGCCTTAAGGTCATAAACTGCTTCTTTGACTTAAAAAAAAGTTGTTCAACTTATTTTGGAGGGTTAGATTCTAGATAAGGCCTGGGGACATGTGGTGTTAGCCATGCCCCCTAGCTATGCTGTAAAAAGTCAGACCTTATCTGGTGTCCTAAGCTCCACACCTAGTATATAATTAAAATTGATTACTTAGCAAGGTTTTCACCAAACATAAAAGTCACTAAGCATTAATAGTATAACAGTATTTGAGACTACTGAAGAAACAGTTTTACATGCAAGGTGTGTGAGGAAAGTGAAATGTGTTTGTGATAAAAGATTATAAAATGTCATGAGAATGTAGATTTCTTGCCTAAATTAAAGGGTTAACAGATTGTGGTAAGTTAGATAGAATAAAGCTGAAGGTTTGAAAAAATTGTGCAAGGTTTGTGAAAAATTAATCTCATGAAAGAAATTCTGTGTGTGAACATATTGGCTAATGTTAAAGGGGTATTCAGTTTTTCCTTAAATTGAGCATTGGAATAAAGCACAACAGGTTTTTCTTAGAGCACTGATTTGCTCTTTAACAAAAATTTGTAAAGAGTTATAAAAGGTTTATTGGAATATTACCTTATGGTCATACTGATTAAAACTGAGTAGATTTATCTATGATGTTTTATTAAGAATTGGGTTTAACATCAACAGTACACTAATGCAAAGGTGAAATTTGGCTTATTTGGTATAAAAGTAATACAGGAAACATTGTCAAATATAAAATTGGCTTTCTTTGGGCTGTATTTGTATAAATATGTTATTGGTATTTGTTCCAAAATTATAAAGACTTCTATAATTCTAATATGGCTTAGCGTATGTTATTAATAGTTGTAAGTGTTAGGTAAAATTTTGTATGACACAGAAGTAACCAAATTTCCTTATCAACTGTGGCTTTAATTGTGGCTGTCTTACAAGTTTTTGCCATCCACAGACAATTACCTTGTGTTGGTCCTCTTCAAATGTGGTTTACAATAAGCTACCAGGATTTGATAGATGTTCTTAAATGCAAATTTGTGATAACTTTGGAGATTGTGACATTAGAATACAGAAAAAAACTTTCAGGGGTCTCATGAAGACCTGAAATGTTCATGACTATCAAGTAGAACAGGAATTAATTACATGGACTGAACTAATAGGAGACTGAAGTAATCTTTTTGACTTTTTTCTTAAAACAGTGCTGATCCCTTGTTTTGTTTTTCTGAGTTGAGGAAACTTTTTAGTTATTTACAGCTTGTAACAATTGAGTAAAGTATACTCCTGTGAACAAAGTTTGGAGCATATTTATTTCTCTCTACCTGATTTCTCCAGAATTTGGAAACTATTTGTGAGTATTCTCAATTTATGGCATAGTTATTTGCATAAGAGCAATAAGAATTTTTTTTTCTTTGCACAAGACACAATTGGAGAAATTGCTTATTTTGCCAAAGTTTGAGGGGAATGGTATGCTTTCTTTTAAGGAATCAAACTTGACAAAGCCAATTAAAGCCTCTTGGGAAAACTAGCCTCATACCTTGTCTACCTAGTCCCTGTACAGAATTCCTGTACAGGGTTTCTGACCTGTAGTAAATAAAGAATGTCACTTTTTGACAGGCCCGGGAGCCCCAAGTTATCTTGGGACCTCAAGAGGAGAGGAGTTTACTCAACTCATATGTATTTGAAGGTACAGACCTATGGCAGGGCTTGGCTTTAAAAAAGTCTTATTTGAGATTCCTTCTATGGAACAGTTTCATCAAAGCCAATTCTTTAAAAAGCTTATGTGAAAAATAATTATTCTTGCTTCACTTTATACAAATAATCAGGCCAATTATAATAAAGCAAATTGGTCTTACCATGATTTGTCTTTAGTAAAAATGGGAGGCTGGAGAGAGAAATTATGTTTCAAAAACTATGGTACACTTACTATTAGATTCTCGTCTCATTTGTTGTTTTTGTGTTTGTTTCTGAAATTTAGGCTAATCACTGGTTGGTTCAACGGAATATGCAATTTAATAACCTTGTTTATTCCAGTGAACCAACCAGTGATCTCTGACTGCAGCTCAGAAGAAACAAGAGAAATGGGTAATGTAAAACTCTAGATCAATATTCTAATTCTGAACACATATTGGAATCAGCCAGCAACCCTACATCAGCTTGTTTCCAACAACTGCCCAGTTCTTAGAAAGCCTTCCTGTTTAGTTTGCTTGGAATGATTTTACTTATTTTACTTTCACTGTGATTGTACTCTTTGTATAGAAATGCAAGATAAGCTTACTCAGTGCTTTCTTAAATTGGACACTTATTAATCTTCCAGATATCACCTTTTGTTGGAACTAGAAGTTATGAACAACCCTCACCATACCAACACTTTCTGACTGTGCTCCTCTCTACCCTGAATGGAAGAGACCCAATAGTTAGGCAGGAATATCATTGCCCCTATTCAGCCTTAAGAAGCTACAGAAGACAGATCTTCATTGGTCTGCAATGCTTAGGATTAACAGCCCTCCTGTAAAGGGAGGAGGGAAATACGTCAGAGGCATTTGAACCAGAGCAACTCCATCCTGAGTGAGGGCTAGGAAAATGAGGCTGGGACTTGCTGGGTTGCATTCCCAGTAAGTTAGGTATTCCTAGCCTCTAGATGTTTACGGTTAAGGAAACAGATTGATACTGTTTGCTAAACAGACCCAACTTAGGAGTGTTCTAATATCCCGATATCTTGAGATCAGAATATTCCTAATTTTGCTTTAAAGATAATAATATAGATCCTTGCAAAATAGAGTAATTAAGAAAATTAATACCTTACCACAAGCCCTGTGGCAGAACATATCACCCCATGATTTTTTTATCCTATATATAAACAAGTATCAGACCTAGGGTGGATGCCTTCCTCCTCTTTCTTTCAGGAATGCCCTACTCTGTCTATGGAGTAGCTGTTCTTTCACTACTTTACTTTCTTAATAAACTTGGTTTTGCTTTGCACTGAGGACTCTCCCTGAATTTTTTATCATGTGAGATCCTAGAATCCTCTCTTGGGGTCTGGATCAGGACCCCTTTCTGGTAACACTATGATGAAATGGATAAAGTTAAATCAAACTGATATTTATGTTTTTTCTTTTCTGAGAAATTCAGTCCATAAAAGGTTTTATGTCACTTTCACTTTGTTCTATTGTTTGGTTTCTGAAGGTATTACTTTCTGAAAAGAAATCCCTAATCTCTTATGGATAGAGAATATAACTTATTCTTTTACCCTATGAATTAATATTTAATTAAATTAGAAACTATGAGTTTGAATATTAATTTCCTTGTTTTTAGAATTTCTTCACAAAATCAGAGTGTTCTCCTATTTTAATGCTCCAAAGGAAATTATGCTCCAAATCATAAATGAATTCAACCATTCTTTTGAAAACATCTTAATATCTGCACTCTATTTCTTCCATTTTGAATATATTCTCATAGCTAGTAGTCTTGCTGTGGACAAGGAATAGGTATTAGAATTTGTGAGCAAATAAAGATATGCAGAACCATGGGTTCCTACTTTAAACTATCTTGAGCTTGTAGAATCTATATCATGTCAGGTGATAAAGAATAAACTGTTAACGTAGAAAGGAAACAAGAAAAACTGAGGGAATTAACCTAATCAGTTATACATTTTAGTGCCTTGAGGAACTAAACTGTTTCATTCTTCATGAACCAAATGATATCTGCAAAAATGTTGTTCTTTCTTTGTTCCCTTTTGGTCTTATGATATTTCTCCTCATTGGCTTTTCAAGTCTTGCAAAAATTGGTGCTGTTGTTGTTGTTCCAAAATAGTTGCTGGCACATGCTATGTGGCAGACATTAAACTCAAACTAACACATCCTTACTGATTAGTTTCTAGTTTATGGTTGCTGAGGACTGAGCAGAGCTCTTCCAAAGCTTAATTTATAAAGCACTGAAAACTATAAGCGAGGGCATATTAAAATCTGTTCATATAAAAGTAAACTAACATTTGTGCCATATATCATAGGTGTAGAACCTGTATGATTAGAAATAGAACATCCAAACATCAACTGAATTATCCATTACTAATAAATAGTAAAATTGTGAGTAAAATATTAAAAATCCATATGTGTACAAATAGGAAAGCAACAAAGAACAAAGTATTCTACTTTATTATTTAGAAAAAGATAATGAAAGGAGAGCAATACCTGTATCAATAGTTAAAATAATACTTAAGATAAATGTCTCAATTTTCTCTTTCACATCGTTCTTTTCCCTACATCCTTTAATTATGAATTTCTTAATTAAGAATTTTATTTTAGTAGGTAAGATATATTCTTTGATTTATTAATTTTTTTCAGCAACTATTGCCTGAACATGTTCAATTTGTCAGATCCTCTACTAGGCTCTGGAAGTGCAACAGTGAACAAAAACAAACATCCCTTATATGTACATGGTACTTTCAGTAAGGTTGTAAAGAAAGAACCAAATCAAATTATCTCTGAAATAAAGCCCACATTGTCCTTTTGCAAATACTGTAGGGGAAAGGTACATGTGGGGTTATAATGTTACCAAAGGGGTCAGGAAATGCTGACTCAACCACACTAAGGAGACTGACTACAGGAAAGAATGGACTCTACTGAGAGGGAAGTGGAAAGCATATCCAGCTGATGGAGTAGGGTCTGCAAAGAAGTGTGGTGGGCACAGGAAATCTAGATAATTTTACTCTGGATAGAGCAAAGGAGAAAATGAGGATAAAAATCAAGCTACAGAGGTTGTTAAACACAGACCATGGAGAGCTTCTCAGGCTAGGTTAAGAATATTGTTTTCATGCCAAGAGTCATTGCAGGGCATTGAAATATTATGAGCACCTGATAGAGGGGGTTTTTTTGTTTTTGTTTTTGTTTTTGTTTTCTGAGACAGAGTCTTACTCTGTGGCCCAGGCTGGAGTGCAGTGGTGCAATCTCAGCTCACTGTAACCACTGCCTCCGGGGTTCAAGCGATTCTCCTGCATCAGCCTCCAGAGTGGCTGGGTTTATAGGCGCACACCACCACACATGGCTAATTATTTGTATTTTTAGTAGAGACTGAGTTTCACCCTATCTTGAATGGGGTGAAGCTGGTCTTGAACTCCTGACCTCAAATGATCCACCTCCCAGACTGCTGGGATTACAGGCATGAGCCACTATGCCAGCCAACTGATTGAGTTTTGAAAGGAACACCATGACTGTACAGTGCAGAGTGGATGACAAGGAGGACAATTTAGTTATGAATAAGCCAGTTGGAGGTTAGTTTCACATGTTTTGCAGGTGAAATGTAATATTCACTTTAACCAGAGTAATTGGAAAGCTCTTCAAAAGATGTATTAGAAAGTGGTCATATATTCTATACAAAAGCTTTTGAGAAATATCAGTGATTTTAGGTTTGCACAATATTTTTTGTCTCTGTTAGTCAGTGTGATAAATAAGGCTGGAGATTTTGAGGCTACAAGTGAACACCTTACTTGGATTTTGTACATGTTAAGTTTATTTACCATCAGAGAAGGATAATTCTATTCTCAAGAGTGGGGTCAGAAAGCTACAGCCAAATCCAGACTCACTGCTGAGTAATTTTGTAAATATAGTTTATTGAATCACAGCCACACCCATTCATTAGTGCATCATCTTTTAATGTTTTTGCACAGTGGTGGAGTTGAATAGTTCCAACAGAGATTATATGGCCTGCAAAGCAGATAACATGTATTACCTGCTCCTTTACATAAGAAGTTTATTGACTCGTGCCCTAGAAAATGGAGATAATTTTATTTTTACTTTCTTTGTTACTCCCTGCGTTGATGTTTGTCACCAAAAAGGTAATCACTCCTAAGTAGCCACATTACTTAATGTATGTGTTCAAAAAATAAATTATTAAATCTCTACAGCTTGTAGGCACTGGTAATATTTAGGATGATGCTCCTAGTTTAAGGTGACTCACGTGCATGAACGATTGAATCCAGTCAGTGTGAAAGTGCTATGTGATATAGCCAATCCCCTTCCAAACCATCTTTACCTAAAGAATATTCCCCAAATACAAAACAAATAAACACACAGAATCCATGTTTATAGCTTATAAGATTTTAGAAAATTACTGAAACATAACATAATTTTATTTCTTTGCATTAGTAGCTTTCATGTTTCTACAGTATCTACCCTGTAAAATAAACTCAGGCACAAACTGCCCATTGTCTCAGAGTGACAGGGCCAGAATTCTAACCCATCTTGTAATTAAGAAGCTGGGTCCCCTTGAACCCAATAATTGATTTAATGTACACCAATTTGTGAACAATATTGTTCACTAATGAAAGATCATTCTACTAGGATTTACTACTAGAATAAAGGTTTAACTGTGTATGTAGCCTTGTGAGCTCATTGCCTCATTTAGTTCAACCAATAATAATTAGAAAAATTATTTAAATATCTAATGCATACAATAGAGCAATAGATATTTCATTTCCCAGAAAAAAAGATTTTTTGAAGGCATAAACCATTAAAACTGTTTTGTCCTCCACAGCAAAGACTGCTCTTCTAATGTAAGGAATCTAGATGATTATGGAAGGAAAAGAAGTGCTGTCATTTCAATGAAAACTACTCCAGTAAGTCTCCTAAATAGTCAAAGGGATGAACCAAATTACTACTTACGTAGTTCCTTTCAGTTAAATCTTTATGAGCACCATGCTGCTTCCTTGAGGTATAAACATGTATCAAACACAAGGGAAAAGATATGTGTGAATAATATGGTTTGGAATAATGTCAGCATCACACTCCTCATATAATTAAAATACCTAATTGAATATGATCACATAAAGAAATAACCACTTATTTCTAGAAATAAGTGGAAGGAAATACACCAAAATATTAACTTATTTTCTTTTGTGGAATTAGTGCATTTTTGTTCCTGTTTAATCTCTGTTTTCCAAATGTACTTTAATACAAATGTATTGCCTTTTTAATAGAAATATATTTTATGGAAAAAAGTAAAATATTAATAGATTCTTAAAAAGATTTGTGCACATTAAATTTAATCTCCATTGATTATCCAAGATAAATTGATATTATTGATTTATGAACTATTCTGAAAAAATACTTTCAAGGCTAGTAGGTGCAGGGAATGCACCAAATGATGCAAAGAAATAACTGTTAGGAAAACCCAAATCTTTTGCATTTCAATGCATTAAAAGGCATTCAATGATAATAGTTCTCCTGTATAAAATAGCATAGTTGTCTTAGCCCATTTTTGTGCTGCTGTAAAAGAATACCTGAATCTGGCTAGCTTGAAATGGAAGAAATTTATTGGCTTACAATTCTGGAGGCTAGAAGTCCAAAACTGAGGGGCCAGCATCGGGAAGGGGCTTCTTGTTCATCAATCTGTATTGAGAGGGCAAAGAGAGGGCGAGAGAGAGCAGCAGTGGGCTAAACTCATCCTTTGATAAGGAACGCACTCCAGCGGTAATGAATCCACTCCTGCAATAACAACATTAATCCTCTCATAAGGACAGTGCCGCCATGACTCAAACACTTCTCTTTAGGTCCCACCTCCCAACACTGCCATATTGGGAGTCAATTTTCCAAAACATGTACTTTGGGGGAGACATTCAAACTATAGCAATTGTGCTGAATACTTAATTTAATTTAACTTGAAATAAGTGATGATTAAGTTTTGCTCACCAGCCTGTTGGTGACAGATGGTATTGGGAAGCATATTCATGACCATAGAAACATGTTCATGAAAAAGCAGTAAGCCTACCCTCATTTATGTCTTAACTACTAAGGGATCTTAGAAAGAGCAGAGGTTTAGAGTAAGCTACATGTTTTTAATTTCTCTCTTGTTGTTCTCAAAGTTGGAGTCTTAGCTCCTTCATCTTTAAGAATGGGGTTGACATCTATTCTACTACCCACTAAGCATTAGTTCTTATTTGTAACAGTAATAGGTAACCTTTGCTGAGTGTTTCCTATGCAAGAGGAACTTTGCATCTGTGAAAATTGTCTAATTAAAATGGTCCTATTAGAATCCTTGTGTGCAGAATATAGTATTCAGGATCAGAATGGTTTAATAACTGGGTTAAGGTCTTGCAAATGGTAGGGGAATAGCTGGAATCTTATCCAGACAGTCTGGTATTTGAGTTCAAGCTGATAACAACTATGCATTCAGCCTCCTATTCTCATAGAAACTTGATTTAGCTTTTTCATTTCAACTGATATGCTAATACTAATACTCTGATTACATGAGCACCACCAGACTTTAATTAACTCCAGTTTCTTTCCTATCAAAAAATTTCTTTAGGCTTTCAGATGTAAAGAGATTCATAAATTCAGCAAATCTTCACTTTTAGTTACAAGTATTTCTCCTTCACTTAGATAAAAAGAAATCCCACAAATGATTTTATAGCAGCCCTCTGTTATTTGTCTGCTGATAATTCATTAAACAAAGCCAAAAAAGGAAGAAAAGCTTTTCTGTTTTTATTTTTTTGACTTGTTAATCCTTGCAAAGTTGATCCTGCTAGGAAGCTGCAGGGTACTTTAAACCAGGTCATTTTAACTAAACATAAATACAGCACAAATTGGATGTCCCCTCAGGCCTTTGAACTGACTTGAAGCTAAGACTTTACCCAGGCCTTTGGTTTTATCTATGCATGTCCTTGGAGGAGAGCCAAATTCTCAGCAGAAACACACATTTGCAGGAATAGGACCAGCTGCAGAAGGTTTTGAAGCTATAAGCACTAGCACTTTCTAAAAGCTGAAAAATATAAACGATCTCTGAACTTTAATTACTTGCCTTCTCCAAAGGCACATGTAGAAACCCCCATGTCCATGCCTAAACTGTTCACTGCTGTGGGGTATGGTGGAAAGACAATTAGCTTTGGAGCTTGCCCAGTTTTGCAATACTGGCTTGCTATGCATTTCTGCAAATTGTTGAAGTTTTATCCTCAGTTTTATAATAACTTAATGGGGTTTTTTGTATGTTCCTGGAATATAGCAGAATATCAACAAATAGTTTTATGTTGAAGCTGACCACTTTGCATTACCAGTATTCAGAAGTATGTCATTCAAGATATTCATTTTTTAGTAAGATTTCAAATATTCATCTCATTCTAAAGCTATCTTGCCTTTTAGTGAATTCTCTTTTTCTTTTCCTTTCACAGCCTTCCACTGCAACTGTCTTTCTAATGACTGTATCATTTTGCACCACCACTATACAGAAGGCTCATCCTTTAGAGCAAGAAAAACGCTAATTTGTAGAGCATTCATGAAATACTCCTTCAAACTTATTTAAGCTGAAATGATACAGTCTCAAGTACCAAATTTCTAAAAATGGCTTGAAAGGCTTTGGAATTAAATGGGAGAAAATGTTTTTTCCATGTCTCATTAAAAGAAATGTATTTAAACAGTTCAATTAGGAAAGACAAAATAAATTTATTCTTTTAAGTATGACAATGGAAAGAGGCATCTTACCAAGTAATGTCTTCTGAACTCAGGCATATTGGTTTAATTTTCAAGATTAACTAATCTTACAATTACTTATATTATGATCTGCAATTATATCCTGTAACATGAGCATTTTACCCAAGTTTAATGGCATTGTAGATCCATTTCCTTTCCTAAGAGATAAAGACACTGAAGGAGATTTTCAATGCCCTGTGTCCAGAAGTAGAAAGAGTACTGCGTTCTGCTTCAATGATATGAACACCACTCTCAAGCTTGCCTGTTTATAACACACAAAAAATAAGACAAGTGTCAACTTTAGAAGACTACAAAGAGAATAAATTTGAAGTAAACTACGGGATGCCTATTTTCTTTTTCTGGATTCTTGGAGTTAAGTGAGGTCCTGAGAAATGCCCATCTATATATTCTGAAGGCCTTTCAAATGATGCCAATAATTTACAGTCACTTAATAACTGAAGATACCTGAACCAATGTTGACTAAAAACTCTGGCTTCCAGCTTTACTGAGTGTTCTGGGAGTTAATAGAGGTCTCTAGTATATGCAAAAGACACCCACAATTGAAACTCTGGGACACAGAAAAGAAGACCTTCAAAGTCTCATGAATTATATGCCAACTCAAGGCCCTTGTAGCGGCAGGCTAGCTCCTACTTAGAGGGATAAATCAAAGCATTAATCGGTCTTGTCGGGAAAGCAGGTGTTTTGACTGCCTTTATGGTTCATTTTCATGCAAAAGGGTTGTGGGACACAGAAATCACAACGGATTGCAAATAAATGACACTGACAGGATTGATCCCACCAGGTGAGGGGGCTAAAATCAGCCCGTCTTTTCGTATTATGAAATATACCTAATAGCAGAGCCTCTTTAAGCTCTAGCTCCACAACAGCCTATTTGTGAGCTCAGGATTTTTTTCTTTTTTTCCCCTTGTCTTTTCTTTTTATAATAAACTATTCCAGCAACCGTAGCAGGTTTAGAATGTTAAAGAACCATGGTGCGCAAGATTTGACAAAAGGATTTTTGTTTTTAAAGGACTTTAAGGACAGGATATACAAACTCTGTAATCTGGTTCCAAGATGGAAGGGGAGGAAGAGGATGAGGAGAAGCGAATCCTTCATTTCACCCTCATCTCAAGATTCAGTGATAGCAAAAATATCATCAAAAAGTTCCAGGAACATAAACAACTACCAAGTGTTGGTTTATGTGAGGCTTTACACTTTAAAAGGTAACTAAATTTGGAGAAAAAAACTTTAAAAAAATCTCAAATAAATTTATGGTCAATTTGGCATTTTATAGAATGGCACTTTTGACTTATTATGTCATGATCTGCTAGGTTTCTTCAGTGAACGGTCATTGATGTGGTAGAATAAAACTTGAAAAAATAACTAAAATGACTGTTGCGAATTCTCCAGATTTTGTGATTATTCTTCTGTATAGTAGTACACATTTAGATAAATTCCAAAATTACGTGCCAACTAGTTAATAGCTAATTATTGAGCATTTACTATATTCTAAAAATTATTCTAAGAACTCTATATGTGTAGTACTCATAACTTCCTGTGGCAAATAATATTATTTCCCTATAAGGAAACATAAGCACAGACAGGATAAGTAATTTGCTCTATGTTATATAACAATTAGGCTGAAATTCAAGCACAGACTGACTCCAGAGTTCTTATGCTGAGCCCTAACATTCTTCTGCCTCTTCAGAACATCTTATTAGCTTCTTTGTTCTCAATATTAATGTTAATAGGCCAGGCACGGTGGCTCATGCCTGTAATCGCAGCACTTTGGGAGGCCGAGGTGAGCAGATCTCCTGAGGTCAGGAGTTCGTGATCAGACTGGCAAACACGGTGAAACCCTGTCTGTATTAAAAATACAAAAATTAGCCAGGTGTGGTGGTGGGTGCCTGTAATCCCAGGTACTCGGTAGGCTGAGGCAAGAGAATCAATTAAACCTGGGAGGTGGAGGTTGCTGTGAGCCAAGATCACACCACCGCACTCCAGCCTAGGTGACAGAACGAAACTGTCTAAAAAAAAAAAAAAAAAAAAAAAAGGCAAAGTTTGAACTGTTACAATAAATACATATTTTTGCAATACAGATTTTTTTAAGAAAGCAAGCTAAGTAAGAAGTACATTTCTTAAGCCAAATTAGGTTTAACCTCCCGGTTTCTAACACATAATAAGATCTTGCTGGAGAGTTTGTTTTACCTTTTCTAATATCTATTTTAAGAAAACCTAATAATTTCATTATTTACCTGAATGTCTAGAAGCTATGGCTCAGGAGCAAGAAGTGGCCATGGGTGACAAAGAAGTTTAAAGGTAGTTTGAAGAAAACATTACCTCAACTTGCAACCTGATATAAACCTTCCTTAATCTCTGTTTTAAGGTAAGGGAGGAGACCACCCTTCATATTATCTTATGCTCAATTTCTGCCTCTAAAGAAAGAAGTAAAAACTAAAAGACAGAAATGAAATCCTCAAGCAGACAGCCCAGCACCACACCCTAGGCCTGGTAGTTAAAGATAGACCCCTGACCTAATCAGTTATGTTATCTATAGATTCCGGACATTGTATGGAAAAGCACTGTGAAAATCCCTGTCCTGTTCTGTTCCGATCTGATTACCAGTGCATACAACCCCCAGTCACGTACCCTCTGCTTGCTCAATCGATCACGACCCTCTCACGTGGACCCCCTTAGAGTTGTGAGCCCTTAAAAGGGACAGGAATTGCTCACTTGGGGCTCTCAGTTGTTGGAGACGTGAGATCCCAGCTGAATAAAGCCCTTCCTTCTTTAACTTGGTGTCTGAGGGGTTTTGTCTGCAGCTTGTCCTGCTACATTTCTTGGTTCCCTGACCAGGAAGCGAGGTGATCGATGGATGGTTGAGGCAGCCCCTTAGGTGACTTAGGCCTGCCCTGTGGAGCGTGCCTGTGGGGGACTCCGGCCAGCTTGAGCGACGAGGATCCTGAGAGCACTCCTGGGTAGGCAATTGCCCCAGTGGAACGTCTCGCCAGAGCAGCATATGGCAGGCCCCCATGGAGGATCAATGCAGTGGCCGAACACCAAAAAGGAACTGGCACTTGGAGTCCAGACAACTGAAACTTGGTAAGACTAGTCTTTGGAAATTGCCCACTCCATTTGAGTGGAAGTGTGACCTGATCACCCACAGCATGCCTATACTAGTACTTTGGTTTTTGTTTTTGACTTGACTTGGATTGCTTGATACTTTGGTTTTGGTTTTGACCTGGCTTGGATTTCTGGATACTCTTATTTTGGTTTTGATTCTGGTTTGGTGTAAACTGTAAAAGTGTGTGTGTGCCCTTTTAACCCATTGTTTGGTGGTGTGCATGTGGTGTGAGTGTGGTGTTTTGCCTTGAGGAAACATGGGTCAGGCACAAAGTAAGCCCACCCCACTAGGAACTATGTTTAAAAATTTCAGAAAGGGATTTAAGAGAGACTATGGAGTCACTATGACACCAGGAAAACTTAGAAGTTTGTGTGAGATAGACTGGCCAGGATTAGAGGTGGGTTGGCCATCAGAAGGAAGCCTGGACAGGTCCCTTGTCTCGAAGGTAGGGCACAGGGTAACCTGTAAGCCAGGGCACCCGGATCAGTTCCTATATATAGATTCTTGGTTACAGCTAGTTTTGGGCCCCCCAGAGTGGTTAAGAGGACAGGCAGGAGCAGTATTAGTAGCAAACGGATAGTTAGTTAAGGAAGGTTCTCACTCCACCCGCGGAGGGAAGTCAGCACCAAAAGTCGTGTCTGACTCAACACCAGAAGAATCATGGCAGGAATTGGTACTAGCAGTACCCCCTCCTTATCGAGAGGAAGGGCTCCCCACTCCTGAGGCCACAGCACCTACACCTCCACCAGATAACCACACCCCTAGACCACCCAGAGTAGAAAAAAGAGGAAGTGAAGCTGCGGGAGAAACTCCTGCCTTGGCAGCTCGCTTATGCCCCAAGACTGGAATCCAAATGCCCCTGAGAGAGCAGCAATATACTGGGGTAGATGAGGATGGACACATGGTGGAAAGGCATGCTTTTGTGTATCAACCTTTCACCTCTGCTGACCTCCTCAATTGGAAAAATAATACTCCATCTTACACTGAAAAGCCTCAAGCTTTAATTGACTTGCTCCAAACTATTATACGGACTCATAATCCTACTTGGGCTGATTGCCGTCAGCTGCTCATGTACCTCTTTAATACAGATGAAAGGTGAAGGGTGTTCCAGGCGCAACTAAGTGGCTAGAGGAGCACGTCCCAGCCGATTACCAAAACCCCCAAGAATATATAAGAATTCAGCTGCCAGGAACAGACCCCCAATGGGACCCAAACGAAAGACCAGACATGGAGAGGCTAAGATGGTACCGTGAGGTATTTATAGAAGGTCTAAAGAAAGGGGCTCAAAAGGCTACAAATGTAAATAAGGTCTCTGAGGTCATCCAAGGAAAAGAGGAGAGTCCAGCGCAATTCTAACACTGTGTGAGGTTCACTGTATGTACACTCTTTTTGATCCAGATAGCCCTGAAAATCAGTGCATGATTAACATGGCCTTAGTTAGTCAAAGTGTGGAAAAAATCAGGAGAAAATTGCAAAAACAGCCTGGGTTTGTGGATATGAATACCTCACAGTTACTGGAAATAGCCAATCAAGTGTTTGTGAATGGAGATGCAACAAGCTGCAGAGAAAGCCGTAAGGAAGGTGAACGCCAGCCTAGGCAAAACGCCAACTTACTGGCCATGGCCATTAGGGGAATTCCCCCAAAAGGAGAGGGAAAGGTGGGTTCCGGGAAGAATACCCAGTCTAGTCGCCCACGCTTGCAAAGTAACCAATGGCCTATTGTAAGGAAATAGGACATTAGAAAGATAAGTGTCCCCAGCTGAAGGAAAAGCAAGGTGATTTGGAACAAAAGACCTCAGATAAAGATGAGGGAGCTTTGTTCAATCTGGCTGAAGGGCTACTGGACTGAAGGGGATGGGACTCAAGCGCCCCCAAGGAGCCCATGGTCAGGATTACAATTGGGGGCAAGGACATTAAGTTTTTGGTCGATACCGGTGCTGAACATTCAGTAGTGACCACCACGGTTACCCCCTTATCCAAGAAAACCATTGATATAATCGGGGCAACAGGAGTTTCCACTAAGCAGGCTTTCTATCTACCATGGACCTGCTCGGTGGGGGGACATGAAATAGTTCACCAGTTCTTGTACATGCCTGACTGTGCCTTGTCCTTGCTGGGAAGAGACTTGCTTAGCAAGCTGAGAGCCACCATCTCCTTTACAAAACAGGGCTCTTTACAGCTAAAGTTACCAGGAACAGAAGTTATCATGGCCCTTACGGTCCCCCAGGAAGAAGAATGGAGACTTTTTATAACCAAGCCAGGCCAAGAGATAAAACCAGCTCTTGCTAAGCAATGGCTCTGAGTATGGGCAGAGGATAATCCTCCGGGACTGGCGGTCAACCAAGCCCCGGTACTCATAGAAGTTAAGCCTGGGGCCCAACCAATTAGACAGGAGCAGTATCTGGTTCCCAGAGAAGCTCTCAAAGGAATCCAGGTTTATCTCAGGCACTTGAAACCTATGGAATTATAGTTCCTTGCCAGTCTCCACAGAACACCCCCCTCCTGCCTGTCCCTAAGCCAGGGACCAAGGACTACCAGCCAGTACAGGACTTGCGCTTGGTCAACCAATCTACAGTGACTCTGCACCCAACAGTTCCTAACCCTTACACATTGTTAGGGCTACTGCAAGCTATGACATCTGGTTTACCTGTCTGGACTTAAAAGATGCCTTCTTTAGCATCAGACTAGTTCCTGAGAGCCAGAAGCTGTTTGCCTTTCAGTGGGAAGATGCAGAGTCAGGTGTCACTACTCAGTACACTTGGACCTGGCTTCCCCAAGGGTTCAAGAACTCCCCTACTATCTTTGGGGAGGCCCTGGCTTGAGACCTGCAAAAATTTCCTGCCAAAGACCTAGGCTGTGTCTTCTCCTGTATGTGGACGAGCTTCTGCTGGGACACTGCACGGCAGTCGGCTGTGCAAAAGGGATGGATGCTCTGCTTTGGCACCTGGAGGACTGTGGGTATAAGGTATCCAAGAAGAAAGCTCAGATCTGCAGACAGCAGGCACGCTACCTGGGATTCACAATTCGGAAAGGGGAGCGCAGCCTGGGGTCACAAAGAAAGCAGGTCATCTGCAGCCTACCGGAACCTAGAACCAGAAGGAAAGTAAGGGAATTCCTAGGAGCTGTGGGGTTTTGCAGATTATGGATTCCAAACTTTGCAGTACTAGCCAAACCTTTGTATGGGGTCACAAAGAGGGGAGACTGGGAGCATTTTGAATGGGGGCCTCTACAGCAGCAAGCTTTTTGTAAGTTAAAGGAAAAAATTATGTCGTCCCCAGCCCTAGGACTATCAGATTTGACAAAGCCCTTTACATTCTATGTGTCAGAAAGAGAAAAAATGGCAGTTGGAGTTTTAACCCAGACTGTGGGGCCCTGGCCAAGGCCAGTGGCCTATCTCTCAAAACAACTTGATGGGGTTTCCAAAGGCTGGCCACCATGTCTAAGGGCCCTGGCAGCAACAGCCCTGTTAGCACAAGAAGCAGATAAACTAACCCTTGGGCAAAACCTGAATATAAAGGCCCCCCATGCTGTGGTAACTTTGATGAATACCAAAGGACATCATTGGCTAACAAATGCTAGATTAACCAAGTACCAAAGCTTGCTATGTGAAAATCCCCGCCTAACTATTGAAGTCTGTAACACCCTAAATCCCGCCACCCTGCTACCAGTATCAGAGACCCCCGTCGAGCATAACTGTGTACAGGTGTTGGACTCAGTCTATTCTAGCAGACCTGACCTTCAGGACTAGCCGTGGGCATCAGTAGACTGAGAGTTATACATGGATGGGAGCAGCTTCATCAACCCACAAGGAGAAAGATGTGCAGGATGTGTGGTGGTAACTTTGGATGCTGTCATTGAAGCCAAACCGTTGCCACAGGGCAATTCAGCCCAGAAGGCTGAGCTCGTTGCTTTAACTCGGGCTCTAGAACTCAGTGAAGGTAAGACTGTAAACATCTACACTGACTCTCGATATGCCTTTCTAACCCTCCAAGTGCATGGAGCATTATATAAGGAAAAGGGCCTGTTAAACTCTGGGGGAAAGGACATAAAATATCAACAAGAAATTTTACAATTATTAGAGGCAGTGTGGAACCTCAGAAGGTGACAGTCATGCACTGCAGGGTACACCAGCGAGCCTCCACCTCAGTGGCCTTAGGAAACTCTCAAGCTGATTCAGAAGCTCAAAAAGCAGCATCTACCCTTTACCAGGCATCTGTAGCAGCCCCCTTACTCCCTCAAACACCTGACCTGGTACCTACCTATTCTAAGGAAGAAAAAGACTTCTTCCATGCAGAAGGGGGGCAGGTAATAAAAGGAGGATGGGTCAGACTGCCAGATGGGAGGGTAGGTGTGCCACAGTTGCTGGGAGCCACAATCATACTGGCCATGCACGAAACCACTCATCTAGGTCAAGAGTCACTTGAAAAATTGTTAGGCCGGTACTTCTACATCTCACACTTGCCAGCCCTTGCCAAAGCAGTAGCACAACGGTGCATTACTTGCTGACAGCACAATGTGAGGCAAGGCCCCACTGTTCTGCCCGGCATATAAGCTTATGGAGTGGCTCCTTTTGAGGATCTTCAGGTGGATTTCACAGAAATGCCGAAATGTGGAGGTAACAAGTATTTGCTGGTTCTTGTGTGTACTTATTCTGGGTGGGTGGAGGCTTATCTAACATGAACTGAAAAGACCTATGAGGTAACCGTGTGCTTCTCTGAGATCTTACTCCTAGGTTTGGACTGTCCTTACGAATTGACTCAGATAACAGGCCGGAGTTTGTGGCTGACTTGGTACAGAAGAAGCAAAGGCATTAGGAATCACTTGGAAGCTAAATGTCACCTACTGACCTCAGAGTTCCGGAAAGGTGGAGCGAATGAATCGGACTATCAAAAATAGTTCAGGGAAACTATGACAGGAAACAGGATTAAAGTGGATACAGGCCCTTCCTATGGTATTGTTTAAAATTAGATGCACTCCTTCTAAGAAAACAGGATACTCCCCTTATGAAATACTGTATCATAGGCCTCCTCCTATACTGCGGGAGCTTCCAGGCATTCCCCGAGAGTTAGGTGAAATTGAATTACAGCGACAGCTACAGGCTTTAGGAAAAATTATACAATCTCAACTTGGGTAAATGGGAGGTGTCCCATCAGCTTATTCTACCCAGTTCACCCTTTCTCTCCAGGTGATCATGTGTGGATCAAGGACTGGAATGTAGCCCCTTTGCGGCCACGGTGGAAAGGACCTCAGACCGTCATCCTGAACACCCCCACGGCTGTAAAGGTAGAAGAAATCCCAGCCTGAATCCATCACAGCCGTGTGAAACCTGCAGCCGCTGAAACCTGGGAGGCAAAACTGAGCACAGACAACCCTTGCAAGGTGACTCTGAGGAGGACGACAAGCCCTGCTCCAGTCACACCCGGAAGCTGACTGGTCTACGCACAGCCGAAGCATGAGGAGAATCACTGTGGACCTCATTTTCCTTATAATTTGGACTTGTATAGTAAAAAATTCCACTGATTTTCCCCACATGGAGGACTGCTCTCAGTGTATACATCAGGTTACCGAGGTAGGGCAACAAGTTAAAACAGTCTTTCTGTTCTATAGTTACTATGAATGCCTAGGAACTTTAAAGGAACATGTTTATATAATGACACTCAGTGCAAGGTATGTAGCCCTGGAAACGACAAACCAGATGTGTGTTATGACCCCTCTGAGCCTCCCATGTCCACAGTTTTTGAAATAAGATTAAGGACAGAAGACTGGTGGGGACTCATAAATGAGACAAGTAAAGTATTAGCCAGAACAGAAGAAAAACGGGTGCCTAAACGCATAATCTTGAAATTTGATGCCTGTGCTGCCATTAATAGCAATAAGTTAGGAAGGGGATGTGGCTCTTTTAGTTGGGAAAAAGGCTATATGACTGAAAATAAGTACATTTGTCATGAATTAGGACTGTGTGGAAATGAATGTGGATACTGGTCTTGTGTCACTTAGGCCACTTGGATAAAAAATGAAAAGGATCCAGTCCACCTTCAGAAAGGAAAAAATGGCCCTTCCTGTACTAAGGAACAATGTAACCCCTTAGAGCTAGTAATAACCAATCCCCTTGATCCTTGCTGGAGAAAAGGGGAGCGTGTGACCTTAGGAATCGAAGGGGCCGGACTGGATCCTCAAGTAAATATCTTGATTCGAGGAGAAGTTTATAAACACTCTCCTGAGCCAGTGTTTCAAACTTTCTATGATGAACTAAATGTGCCAGTACCAGAAATTCCAGGAAAAACAAGAAATTTGTTTTTGCAATTAGCTGAGCGTGTAGCCCAGTCTCTCAATGTCACTTCATGTTACGTATGTGGAGGAACTGTAATGGGAGATCAACGTCCATGGGAAGCCCAAGAACTATTATCTATAGGCCCAGTTCCTGATGAATTCCCGGCTCAAAGGAATCACCCTGATAATTTCTGGGTCCTAAAAGCCTCAATTATTGGACAATATTGCATAGCTAGAGAAGGAAAAGAATTCACTCACCCTGTAGGATGACTTAGTTGTCTGGGACAGAAACTGTATAATGGTACCACAAAAACAGTCACTTGGTGGAGTTCAAATCACACAGAGAGGAATCCATTTAGTAAATTCCCAAAGTTGCAAACCGTGTGGACCCACCCGGAGTCCCACCAGTATTGGTCAGCCCCCACTGGATTATAGTGGATATGTGGGCATAGAGCTTACACAAAATTACCTGACTGGTGGGCAGGTAGTTGTGTTATTGGCACTATTAAACCATCTTTCTTCCTACTGCCCATAAAAACAGGCGAACTCCTGGGCTTCCCTGTCTATGCTTCCCGCAAAAAGAAAGCATAGCTATAGGAAATTGGAAAGACGATGAATGGCCCCCTGAGAGAATCATACAATATTATGAGCCTGCTACTTGGGTACAAGATGGCTTGTGGGGATACCGGACTCCCATTTACATGACCAACCAAATCATACGGTTACAAGCTGTCTCAGAAATAATCACTAATAAAACCAGCAGAGCCTTGACTATTCTGGCCCGGCAAGAAACTCAGATGAGAAATGCTATCTATCAAAATAGATTGGCTCTCGACTACTTGCTAGCAGCTGAAGAAGAGATCTGTGGGAAATTTAACCTTATTAATTGCTGTCTACACATAGATGATCAAGGGCAAGTCGTTGAAGACATAGTTAGAGATATGACAAAACTGGCACACGTGCCTGTGCAAGTGTGGCATGGATTTGATCCTGGGGCCGTGTTCGGAAAATGATTCCCAGCACTAGGAGGATTTAAAACTCTTATAATAGGAGTTATAATAGTAATAGGAACCTGCTTACTGCTCCCTTGTTTGCTACCTGTACTTCAAATGATAAAAAGCTTCATCACTACCTTAGTTCACCAAAATGCTTCAGCACAAGGGTACTATATGAATCACTATCCATCTGTCTTGCAAGAAGACATGGGTAGTGAGAATGAAAGTGAGAAATCCCACTATTGAGTGAGATTCTCAAAGCTGGGGAATAAGGGAGGAGACCACCCCTCATATTGTTTTATGCCCAATTTCTGCCTCCAAAGAAAGAAGAAGTAAAAACTAAAAGGCAGAAATGAAAACCACAAGCAGACAGCCCAGCACCACACCCTGGGCCTGGTAGTTAAAGATCGACCCCTGACCTAATTGGTTATGTTATCTATAGATTACGGACATTGTATAGAAAAGCACTGTGAAGATCCCTGTCCTGTTCTGTTCCATTCTAATTACCAGTGCATGCAGCCCCCAGTCACGTACCCCCTGCTTGCTCAATCGATCACGACCCTCTCATGCTGACCCCCTTAGAGTTGTGAGCCCTTTAAAGGGACAGGAATTGCTCACTCGGGGAGCTTGGTTGTTGGAGACATGAGTTATGCTGAAGCTCCCGGCTGAATAAAGCCCTTCCTTCTTTAACTTGGTGTCTGAGGGGTTTTGTCTGCAGCTTGTCCTGCTACAAAGGAACTGGCAAGAATTGTCAGGATAAGACTTATATATGGACGTTTAGAACTATAAACTTCCAAGGGAGTAAAATTGGCCATATCATCTGGCTAGTACATTAGTGCCACACAGACAATCTGTGTGAGGAATTTTCTCTAAGCCAAAAATTTGTTGTTGAATGTAGGTCCCCAAGCAAAAGTAAATGTATTAATTGCTTACATTAATGCAGTTTTGCAGCATCAGATTAGGAATACCCCATACATCCATCACCACAAGAGAGAGGTGGAGTTCCTGAGTTAGAGAAATTTATCTTGGTGTCAGTGTTTTTCTAGATGATGCAACTTTCATTACAATCTAACATTGATTAACCCCCTTTAATTGACATAATAATGTTTAGGGTTGTAAGTACAGCCTATGCAATCATACAGCCATCATGCTTTACTGGCCTAGACATATTTTGTCTACTTTGGAAAGGCTTCTTAACTTAAACATTCACGGATAAATATTAAAGGCCCTCTATTGAAATGGTATACTAATCAAAATTGAATGCTGAATTTGAATATTAAGAGTTTATGAACTTGTGCATTTTTCTGAGAATGTGATCCATAAATTGCATCAGATTTTCAGAGAGTATATGTTTCAAAAATAAAAAAAAGCTAATTGAAGTAATTTTATAAAACTCTGCTCTTAATCCACTCATTATGTGTTAACACATTGTAACATTCATGGGGGCAGTCTAATAGTGGTACAGTGAGAAGAGACCACATCTATTATTAATAGTGATAAAGCAGACAGAGATATAATCTTCTTTTTTGACTGTGATAATATGTACATAATGATTACTATTTTAACTATTTTTAAGTGTACAATTTGTTGGCATTAAGTACATTCACATTGTTCTACAACCATCACCACCATCCATCTCCAAAATTTTTCATTATCCTAAGAGATTATGCTCTGTTAAAAAACACTTTATAGTATTTGCAAGTTTAACACATGAACATTATTTTGGTTAAGACTATGAATTCTTAGCTAATTTTAGTGTCCATGTTCTCCAAATAATTATATCTCCAAGCATCATCTATTCTTACGTATGAATTATTTCTGAGATTGTGTTACAAAATACAAAATTACCCAATATGAACTTCTACCATTTTAAGTTTTTGTTCTTGTGTTGTTTTGTTTTGCTTTTGTTTTGTTTTTGTCTTTTGAGACAGAATCTCGTTCTGTCGCCCAGGCTTGAGTGCAGTGGTGCAATCTCAGCTCACTGCAACCTCCGCCTCCCAGGTTCAAGCAATTCTCCTGCCTCAGCCTCCCCACTAGCTGGGATTACAGGTGCCCGCCACCACACCCAGCACATTTTTGTACTTTTAGTAGAGATGCGATTTCACCATATTAGCCAGGCTCATCTTGAACTCCTGACCTCAGGTGATCCACCCACCTTGGCCTCTCAAAGTGCTGGGATTACAGGCATAAGCCACTGTGCCTGGCCTCACTTTAAAAGTGTTAACCTGAGCTCTGTTTAAAAAAAATCTAATGCTAAAAAATGAATATTCTTTTTCTTTTTTTCCTTTTATTTATTTATTTATTTTTTGTCTTTTTAAGAGACAGGGTCTTGCTCTGTCACGCAGGCTGGAGTGCAGTGGCACGATCATAGCTCACTGCAGTCCCTAATTTCTGGTTGCAAGCAATCCTTCTACCTCAGCCTCCCAAAGTACTGGGATTACAGGCGTGAGCAACCACGCCCAGGTCCTAAAAACTGGTATTTTTCTAATAATGTTCCTAAGTCAGAACTATGACAATGGTTTTAAAGGAAGTGAATCCTTTGATTAAAGACAAAGTGAGAGTATATTAATTTGAAAAGCCTAAGATATTAACATAAATCTTCAGTTAATATTATGAAAAAAGGTTTATCCTCCTAAATTTTTATTTTTTAGTTTTATATTGTTTTAATGTCCAATCTAACTGAATTGCAGAATTAATCCCTATTAAAAATTCATTAATGAAAATAATTATAGAAAATGTAAAATATGGATACAAATGGAAAGATGGAAAAAAAACTACAAAAGCCTATCCATACCATCTAAAAAAGTACTTACTTTTAGGTGACATTGTTACAATTTTAAAATATGACATTCTGTATTTAAAAAAATTGTATCAACATTCCTGGTTACCTCTTATTGTAAACCAAAAATTAAAATTCTTATTCACATATTTATGTTAAATTAGTTTGAAGTGCCCCATGGATATAACTATGTGAATTACTCTTTCTGATTTATTTAACAAATATTTATTGAACACATAAAATGTTTTTTGCTGTAATTATTACAGAAAACATTTCTACTCTCTCTTTTGTTTATTAGCACAAAAATATAGATATACAGTGAAGAAGTCAAGCATTAGTTCACAATTTATAATAATAAATTGAAAGAAACTCTAAGGAATTTAAGACAGCACATTTTTTTTAAAATATGATTTAGAATGATTTTAATGGTTTACATATAGACACTTTCCATAATTAAGGTTGGTTAGACATTAGATTTGAAAATTTGCTCTTCCAGAGCCTCTTCCAGAGTTGCTTTTAAGATCTAATGAAGCTAACATAAGGGAACTACTGTAATGTTTCAGCATTCATTTTTACAGATAGGCTTTCTGCAGTCAGTTTGGCTTTCTAACTGGATTTTTATGTAAAGGTAAATTGATCAGGACCGTAGGAAACAAAGTTCCTAATTCTACAAATAACCTCTGTAAATAATGCATCCAGGTAAATTCAACTACAAGTTGTGTGTGTATGGAAGAGACATACATCGATTTTTTCTTCTATATTTGGATACTCAGAGGGTAATATTCATGTATTAAAAATATTAATATAAATGATGATGAGTTAAAAAATCTGATCTATAACATCCATTCAACTCAGTTTCTGCAGAACAGTTTCTAGTAAAATTAATAGCTAATTTCAAATTAAAATGTCACATTACCTTTCACGAAGGACAGAATGATCAAGAACAGTTTATAAACATATTCACAAATGTTTGACTCTCTTAAGGCAAATAAAAACCTTTTAACAAAAGCAGCATTTCTTTTAGGGGTATTAAAAAGTCTTAGGTATATCACATTCAAAGCAACCTGCACCCTCACTGCCATATGCCGCCTCACTGCCCATTATTGTTGAATTACTGAACCAAGAACAGTTTAGAAGCTGTGTTGTAGGCAAAACAAATATCCCAAGTTCTAGTTTTTAAATTGGGTCCAAAGATAGCCACACATAGCAGTTTAATCAAAAACGCTTAGCAGATTCAGCTACCAGTCTGTGAAATTGAATGTTAGCTGTTGCCAGTCATCACTTTTACTGAGGGCAAGAAAACAGAGGACAAAGTGTCATATGCCCTTGTATACTGAAGGGTAGAATTACCAGATCTTCCACTGTATTAGTTTCCTAGGGCTGCTGTAACAATTGCTACAAACTTGGTGTCTTAAAACAACAGAAATTTATTCTATTACACTTTTTAAGACCAGAAGTGCAGAATCAAGGTGTCAGCAAAGCTGTGCTCTCTCTAAAACCTATGGGGAGAATATTTTCCTTGTCTCTTCTGGGTTCTGGTAGCTCCAGGCATTCTTTAGCTTGTAGCTGCCTAACTCCAGTCTCTGCCTTTGTCTTCACATGACCTTCTCATCTTTTTTTCTCTCCGTCTTCTCTTTGTCTTCTCTTCCATCTCCTACAAAGATACTTCTCATCAGATTTGGAACCCACCCAAATACTCCAGGGTGATCGCATGCCAAGATCCTTAACTTCATTAAATCTGCAAAATGGGGTCACATTCACAGGTTCCAGGGGTTAGGACATGGGCATATATTTTGGGGGAAACAGCAAAAATCAACCCAATTCAACTACTATCACTACTTAGGCTCTTATACTGTGTTATTTATGAATTTAATGGTCATGGTATGTTTTCCTTTTTAATGGCTACCTGCCTGTGTTTTCTAATACAGTGGTGTACACTCAAGTGAATTATTTAAAAACAATAACTATCAGTTAATGTATATTTAATTTCATTATATGTGCCAGCCACTCTTTTTTAACTCATTTACTCCTCACAGAAACTCCACAAATTTGGTATTATTGTGCCAATTTTATAGATGAGAAAACAAAGACACAGAAATGCAATATTTCCAATTTAAACAGATAATAAGTGAAGGAGCTGGGGTTTCAATGAAGACAAGGTGACTTCAGAACCCTACTGATAAATTACCGTCTATATTTTGTAGCCTTTCTTGTGATTTAACCCAGATTATATACGAAAAATATGTTATTCCTCTTTAAGAAAATGTTTCACTCACATTTACAAAATCCTTAGAAAGTTTGAGACTACAATATCTTTATTAAATTTTACATCGAGAATTAGCTGCTACATTTCAACTAAAGATAATACTGAAATATATTAGGAAACAGAGTTAGAGAGTTCATTTCATCTTACAAAGAGAAAGAAAATTTTACAAAAACAAAGCTCTAAATTAATAGAATTTACAGAGTAAATTAGGAATTCTAAAGAAGAAAGCCAATCTCTTGCCTAATTTCCAAGCCAGTAATCTTTCTCCTTGCATTTACTAAATAAATAAATAAATAATTTACTTTTTATTGTTAGAGACAATGTGGCAGATTTTTCTTCCCAAAATGGCTGTACCAATATGTATCTTATTTCATACCCTCAAAAGTACAATGTGACATTAACATGTCCCATCAAGGGATGACATCTCTGTTACCTCCCCTAAGCCTGGGTGGACCTCATAGCTGTCTCAATCAATGTGGCAGAAGTGACACCGTGTAATTTTTGAGGATAAATTCCAAAAGCCAATATGGCTTCTACCTGCAGTGTCTGCGTGTGTTTCTGTTTCTCTCTTTCTTGAGATATTTGTACTTGGAATGCAGGTACCATGTTTTGATGAAGTCCTAGCTACATCTACAGTCTACATGTGGTGGTTTCAGTTGACAGGCCACATCAGCTCTCAAACATGTGAGTGGGCCTTTAGACAATTCCAGCTCCTATCTTTGAGTTTTCTCATTGAAGTTCCAGACAGGCAAGTGATCCCTGCTGTGTCCTAAGTTCCTTTGCTACAGAGTCATAAGAAGTAACAACAATCATTGTTTTTAGTCATTGTTTTTTAATTTAAGTTTTGGGTAATTTCTATTAAATAATTAATTAACATATGCATATATGTCACCATGCATTAGATAATTAACATAAGGGCATATTTCAGCATGACGTTTTTTCATATTAAATATTAGTTTGTCTTTTAATCATATCAGTTTACTTTTTTGACTAGTAAAGTTTTTATTAGGCATAGACTTTCATTCAAAAAATATTCATTTAGCATCTCCTATGAATCAGGTCTTGTGGTAGCCTCCTATAATATAGTGACAAAGGACCCACTTTTTTGGAATGTACATTCTAATTTGGTAGAAGTACAGTTTCTTTCTTTCTTTTTTAAATCTTACAACAGTACAAACATAAATCTAGAGACATGGGACAAGCTCTTTCAAAGTAGAGTGTTGTAGTTATGATTTGTGTCTTAGGTCAAGTTTTCCAGAAGCACAGCCTGAGAGAGTTATCCACATGCAAGTAATATATTGAAGAAATAGTCCCAGGAAAAACCACAAAGGGAGAGTAAGAAGCAGAAATGGAAGCAGCAGAAGCCCAGCAGTGATACAAGTTTCAGGCAAAGTCTCACCCTCAGCTTGATCGTGGTGGGTTGCTCCATGAATACATTGCATCTAAAATGTATCTTTGTGAGAAGCAACGGAGCTGGGGTTTTGCATTACTGTATCAGTCAATCCTCTTCACCAGCGCAACCTCACAGGCACTTCTTCTTCTCTCTAAATTTGAGCAACACAATTCCAACAATGCAAGGAAAGTTTTGGAGAGAGACTGACATACTAAAACCAGGAAAGAGACACGCAGAAATGGCACAAGTAATCTTAAGGGACCTGGTATGAGCCTGAATATGGTCCCCTTAGTTGAGTCTTAATAATTTTTGGGACAAAAAATAAAATAGTCAAAGCATCAGACTTGTAGGAAAAAAAATCAAGAAGCAAAGTGTAAATATTGAATGAGACTTCCAGAAAGCAAAGTATTTTGCCCCACCAGAACAGAAACATACTTTGTGACCATATAGATACATAGAGAAATAGATCTGTTCTTTTATTCTTTATTCAAAATTATTTAATTAGCAATAGTTATGCCTTAGATAAAGCCTTATTGGCTATGATACTGCCACTACACAAAGCTAAAGTTATTTAGTTATGTGATGTATCTTTAATTTCAAGTAGTGGTAAAGAATAATACAGATAGATGAATGGGCAAGGAAAAGAAGAAACTCATGTTTCTGTAAACTAGATGCAACCAACATTGTTTATTCTTTTTCTGGTTTGAACTATGTATATATAGTTCCACTGACTATCATTAGTTCAACCTTTGCTTTTTTTCATTGTTGTTTTTTTTTTTTTGAGACAGAGTCTTGCTGTATTGCCCAGGCTGGAGTGCAGTGGCATGATCTCGGCTCACTGCAACCTGCATCTCCTGGGTTCAAGCGATTCTCCTGCTTCGGTCTCCAGAGTACCTAGGATTACAGGCATGCACCACCAAGCCCAGCTAATTTTTTTGTATTTTTAGTAGGGATGGTTTTTCGCCTTGTTGGCCAGGCTGGTCTCGAACTCCTGATCTCAGGTGATCCACCTGCCTCAGCCTCCCAAAATGCTGGGATTACTGGAGTGGGCCACTGCCCCCCGCCAACTTTTGCTTTTTACCTTCCTACTGTTTTCCACCAAGAAGAAATTAATTGTCTCTACATCATCTATGTGCAAGCAGAACCAATGACTTTTGCTTTTTACCTTTTGAGTCTGCCCACTTGGGCAAAGGAGAAGGGCGTCTCCACATGTGCTTTATGCACTTACTTATTTTAATGGGGATAATATTTTTAAGTGCCAATGTAAGTTCAAATTGAGAGTGACTAATTATAGAATATTAAGAAGGAAGACACAGTTATCTTCATTTATTTCTAATTGTTCCTATAGAAAAATAGGAAGAACTAGGCTCAGTACTAATATTGGAAAATTCATTGTTGATGTTCTAACAAAGGGCTGTTCTTTGCTCTTTGCTAGGTTTAAATGAATGGAACACTCTCCTTACGGGACCTCGTTAAATAACAAATATTCTCATTTGACTATTGATTTGCATCCAATACGTTAAAAAGTTGGTATGAATATAATGCAGCCAATTTATCAAACAAAACACGATCCGTGGAGCTAAGTATGACTAAATGTGTATAGCTGCATTAGTTATCTATTGCTGCATAACAAAATATTGCATTATTTGTGGGTCTGGAATCCAGGCTTGGCTTGCCTGTGTCCTCTGCTTCAGCTTCTCTCACAAAGCTGAAATCAGTGCCGACAAAGCTGGGGGCCTCAGCTGAGGCTCAAGTGAGGAAGGGCCCATTTCCAGGCTTAAATGGCTTTGGTGGGATTCAGTAAGTATGTCTTATCCAACTGAGGATATCAGCTCCTTTCTGGCTGCCACCTGATGGTTCCTTCAATTCCTCATCACTTAAGTTTCTCTATATGGCGGCTTACTTCATCAAAGCCAGAAAAAGCCAATATGAAGTGTCTACTAGCGAGACAGAGGTTGCAATCTTTGGTAATATAATCACAAAAGTAACACCCCCATCATCTTTATCATACTCTATGAGTCAGGAACTGATATGGTTTGGCTGTGTCCCCACCCAAATCTCATCCTGAATTGTAGCTCCTATATTCCTCACATGTCATGGGAGGTACCTGATGGGAGGTAATTGAATTATGGGGGTGGGTTTTTCCCACGCCATTTCCATGATAGTGAATAAATCTCATGAAATCTGACAGTTTCATAAAAGGGCAGTTCCCCTGCACACGCTCTCTTGCCTGCTGTCATGTAAGATGTGCTTTTGCCCCTCCTTTGCCTTCCACCATGACTGTGAGGCCTCCTCAGCCATGTGAAACTGTGATTCCATTAAATCTCTTTATCTTTATAAATTACCCAGTCTCGGGTATGTCTTTATTAGCAGTGTGAGAAGAGACTAATACAGGAATAAATCCCAGATCTCATCCACACTCAAGGAAAAGCATGAATACATAAAAGCATTAACAATAGAAAGCAGGGATAATTGGGAGCCGCCTTGGAGTCTATCACAATAATTTTTGTGGTGGCATAGTGTGAAAATAAATAAATACCTTTGTTCAATGAATAGGCATTTTTTTTTGTTCTAGGAGTTTAAAATCTAGTAATGAAAAGATGACAGTAACCAGTAACTGCTTCAACATCTTAATGTGTGGACACATTCTCATTTCATTTATGAGATATGCATCATAGGTAAAATTTCTGAGTAACTGAGCATTAAAAGCACATTCCCTTTCTTTCCGAAAGTGACTGGTAAGCAAAGAAGGCTGATTGACCAGCAAATAGGAACACTGAACCTGAAACAGTATTATTGGGGAAAATAAAGGGACAGGGACAGCAATTACATGATTTTCTTTCTGCTCATCACATTCTAAGGCTTCCCATAATCAAAGAGTAGGACAAGATTTTAGATTCTGGAAGAGGGAGCCAGACCCTCTGGGCAGTGGGCTTATACAGCTTCATATTAGAGGGAACATAAGCACCTTCACCGCCTTGATCAGGAGCTGGAGTGCACACCTGCAAACATAGTTTGTAGCAACGTGATGTGCTGTACCAGTGACTTCAGCCTGATTCATCACCTCAGCATTTTGCTAATATGGATTCTTAGCACTTACTTCTATAGCTGATTTCCATGAAATAGGTCTTAATTTTCATGTTTTCTGTAAGAGGACAATTCCCACTTAGACAAGTCAATCCTTAACTCTAAGTCAACACCCCAGATTCCTAATGGTAGCCAGTATGTCTCCTATCTTATCAGCAACTCTTATCATTTCAACCCATTTGTTAACATCATTGTAGCAATGCTGTGGCATTCACACTGATATATGTAGGTCTGAGTTCAATTTAAAAATAGGTCATTTATTTAGTTTAGAAGGCTTTGTATGACTCATTTTTTTCTGCATAATTTTTATAGAATAATTTGAGAAATTTTTATGTTTTTTCTATGAAACTGTTACTTCATCACCTATATATTTACACTTTCTCTTTACAATCTATTCCTTTTATTAGATTCCATAAATTTTTTCTAGAAGAAATATTCTGGAAGATGGCCGAATAGGAACAGCTCCGGTCTACAGCTCCCAGCGTGACCGACGCAGAAGACGGGTGATTTCTGCATTTCCATCTGAGGTACCGGGTTCATCTCACTAGGGAGTGCCAGACAGTGGGCGCAGGCCAGTGGGTGCGCGCACGGTGCACGAGCCGAAGCAGGGCGAGGCATTGCCTCACCTGGGAAGCGCAAGGGGTCAGGGAGTTCCCTTTCCGAGTCAAAGAAAGGGGTGACGGACGCACCTGGAAAATCGGGTCACTCCCACCCGAATATTACGCTTTTCAGACCGGCTTAAAAAACGGCGCACCACGAGACTATATCCCACACCTGGCTCGGAGGGTCCTACGCCCACGGAATCTCGCTGATTGCTAGCACAGCAGTCTGAGATCAAACTGCAAGGCAGCAGCGAGGCTGGGGGAGGGGCGCCCGCCATTGCCCAGGCTTGATTAGGTAAACAAAGCAGCCGGGAAGCTCGAACTGGGTGGAGCCCACCACAGCTCAAGGAGGCCTGCCTGCCTCTGTAGGCTCCACCTCTGGGGGCAGGGCACAGACAAACAAAAAGACAGCAGTAACCTCTGCAGATTTAAATGTCCTTGTCTGACAGCTTTGAAGGGAGCAGTGGTTCTCCCAGCACGCAGCTGGAGATCTGAGAACCGGCAGACTGCCTCTTCAAGTGGGTCCCTGACCCCTGACCCCTGAGCAGCCTAACTGGGAGGCACCCCCCAGCAGGGGCACACTGACACCTCACACGGCAGGGTATTCCAACAGACCTGCAGCTGAGGGTCCTGTCTGTTAGAAGGAAAACTAACAAACAGAAAGGACATCCACACCAAAAACCCATCCGTACATCACCATCATCAAAGACCAAAAGTAGATAAAACCACAAAGATGGGGAAAAAACAGAACAGAAAAACTGGAAGCTCTAAAAATCAGAGCGCCTCTCCTCCTCCAAAGGAACGCAGCTCCTCACCAGCAACAGAACAAAGCTGGATGGAGAATGACTTTGACGAGCTGAGAGAAGAAGGCTTCAGACGATCAAATTACTCTGAGCTATGGGAGGACATTCAAACCAAAGGCAAAGAAGTTGAAAACTTTGAAAAAAATTTAGAAGAATGTATAACTAGAATAACCAATACAGAGAAGTGCTTAAAGGAGCTGATGGAGCTGAAAACCAAGGCTCGAGAACTACGTGAAGAATGCAGAAGCCTCAGGAGCCGATGTGATCAACTGAAAGAAAGGGTATCAGCAATGGAAGATGAAATGAATGAAATGAAGCG
This sequence comes from Homo sapiens, assembly GCF_000001405.40. NCBI lineage: Eukaryota > Metazoa > Chordata > Mammalia > Primates > Hominidae > Homo > Homo sapiens. Next base: position 137,497,562 of record NC_000004.12, read on the forward strand.
AGAAGGGAAGTTTAGAGAAAAAAGAATAAAAAGAAATGAGCAAAGCCTCCAAGAAATATGGGACTATGTGAAAAGACCAAATCTACGTCTGATTGGTGTACCTGAAAGTGATGGGGAGAATGGAACCAAGTTGGAAAACACTGCAGGATATTATCCAGGAGAACTTCCCCAATCTAGCAAGGCAGGCCAACGTTCAGATTCAGGAAATACAGAGAACGCCACAAAGATACTCCTCGAGAAGAGCAACTCCAAGACACATAATTGTCAGATTCACCAAAGTTGAAATGAAGGAAAAAATGTTAAGGGCAGCCAGAGAGAAAGGTCGGGTTACCCTCAAAGGGAAGCCCATCAGACTAACAGCGGATCTCTCAGCAGAAACCCTACAAGCCAGAAGAGAGTGGGGGCCAATATTCAGCATTCTTAAAGAAAAGAATTTTCAACCCAGAATTTCATATCCAGCCAAGCTAAGCTTCATAAGTGAAGGAGAAATAAAATACTTTACAGACAAGCAAATGCTGAGAGATTTTGTCACCACCAGACCTCCCCTAAAAGAGCTCCTGAAGGAAGCGCTAAACATGGAAAGGAACAACCAGTACCAGCAGCTGCAAAATCATGCCAAAATGTAAAGACCATCGAGACTAGGAAGAAACTGCATCAACTAACGAGCAAAATCACCAGCTAACATCATAATGACAGGATCAAATTCACACATAACAATATTAACTTTAAATGTAAATGGACTAAATTCTCCAATTAAAAGACACAGACTGGCAAATTGGATAAAGAGTCAAGACCCATCAGTGTGCTGTATTCAGGAAACCCATCTCACGTGCAGAGACACACATAGGCTCAAAATAAAAGTATGGAGGAAGATCTACCAAGCAAATGGAAAACAAAAAAAGGCAGGGATTGCAATCCTAGTCTCTGATAAAACAGACTTTAAACCAACAAAGATCAAAAGAGACAATGAAGGCCATTACGTAATGGTAAAGGGATCAATTCAACAAGAAGAGCTAAGTATCCTAAATATCTATGCACCCAATACAGGAGCACCCAGATTCATAAAGCAAGTCCTGAGTGACCTACAAAGAGACTTAGACTACCATATAATAATAATGGGAGACTTTAACACCCCACTGTCAACATTAGACAGATCAACGAGACAGAAAGTTAACAAGGATACCCAGGAATTGAACTCAGCTCTGCACCAAGCGGACCTAATAGACATCTACAGAACTCTCCACCCCAAATCAACAGAATATACATTTTTTTCAGCACCACACCACACCTATTCCAAAATTGACCACATACTTGGAAGTAAAGCTCTCCTCAGCAAATGTAAAAGAACAGAAATTATAACAAACTATCTCTCAGACCACAGTGCAATCAAACTAGAACTCAGGATTAAGAATCTCACTCAAAGCCGCTCAACTACATGGAAGCTGAACAACCTGCTCCTGAATGACTACTGGGTACATAACGAAATGAAGGCAGAAATAAAGATGTTCTTTGAAACCAACGAGAACAAAGACACAACATACCAGAATCTCTGGGACGCATTCAAAGCAGTGTGTAGAGGGAAATTTATAGCACTAAATGCCCACAAGAGAAAGCAGGAAAGATCCAAAATTGACACCCTAACATCACAATTAAAAGAACTAGAAAAGCAAGAGCAAACACATTCAAAAGCTAGCAGAAGGCAAGAAATAACTAAAATCAGAGCAGAACTGAAGGAAATAGAGACACAAAAAACCCTTCAAAAAATCAATGAATCCAGGAGCTGGTTTTTTGAAAGGATCAACAAAATTGATAGACCGCTAGCAAGACTAACAAAGAAAAAAATAGACACAGAAAAAGAAGAATCAAATAGACACAATAAAAAATGATAAAGGGGATATCACCACCGATCCCACAGAAATACAAACTACCATCAGAGAATACTACAAACACCTCTACACAAATAAATTAGAAAATCTAGAAGAAATTGATAAATTCCTCGACACATATACTCTCCCAAGACTAAACCAGGAAGAAGTTGAATCTCTGAATAGACCAATAACAGGAGCTGAAATTGTGGCAATAATCAATAGCTTACCAACCAAAAAGAGTCCAGGACCAGATGGATTCACAGCCGAATTCTACCAGAGGTACAAGGAGGAACTGGTACCATTCCTTCTGAAACTATTCCAATCAATAGAAAAAGAGGGAATCCTCCCTAACTCATTTTATGAGGCCAGCATCATTCTGATACCAAAGCCGGGAAGAGACACAACAAAAAAAGAGAATTTTAGACCAATATCCTTGATGAACATTGATGCAAAAATCCTCAATAAAATACTGGCAAACCGAATCCAGCAGCACGTCAAAAAGCTTATCCACCATGATCAAGTGGGCTTCATCCCTGGGATGCAAGGCTGGTTCAATATACGCAAATCAATAAATGTAATCCAGCATATAAACAGAGACAAAGACAAAAACCACATGATTATCTCAATAGATGCAGAAAAAGCCTTTGACAAAATTCAACAACCCTTCATGCTAAAAACTCTCAATAAATTAGGTATTGATGGGATGTATTTCAAAATAATAAGAGCTATCTATGACAAACCCACAGCCAATATCATACTGAATGGGCAAAAACTGGAAGCATTCCCTTTGAAAACTGGCACAAGACAGGGATGCCCTCTCTCACCACTCCTATTCAACATAGTGTTGGAAGTTCTGGCCAGGAGAAGGAAATAAAGGGTATTCAATTAGGAAAAGAGGAAGTCAAATTGTCCCTGTTTGCAGACGACATGATTGTATATCTAGAAAACCCCATTGTCTCAGCCCAAAATCTCCTTAAGCTGATAAGCAACTTCAGCAAAGTCTCAGGATATAAAATCAATGTACAAAAATCACAAGCATTCTTATACACCAACAACAGACAAACAGAGAGCCAAATCATGAGTGAACTCCCATTCACAATTGCTTCAAAGAGAATAAAATACCTAGGAATCCAACTTACAAGGGATGTGAAGGACCTCTTCAAGGAGAACTACAAACCACTGCTCAAGGAAATAAAAGAGGATACAAACAAATGGAAGAACATTCCATGCTCATGGGTAGGAAGAATCAATATTGTGAAAATGGCCATACTGCCCAAGGTAATTTACAGATTCAATGCCATCCCCATCAGGCTACCAATGACTTTCTTCACAGAATTGAAAAAACTACTTTAAAGTTCATATGGAACCAAAAAAGAGCCTGCATCGCCAAGTCAATCCTAAGCCAAAAGAACAAAGCTGGAGGCATCACAATACCTGACTTCAAACTATACTACAAGGCTACAGTAACCAAAACAGCATGGTACTGGTACCAAAACAGAGATATAGACCAATGGAACACAACAGAGCCCTCAGAAATAACGCTGCATACCTACAACTGTCTGATCTTTGACAAACCTGAGAAAAACAAGAAATGGGGAAAGGACTCCCTATTTAATAAATGGTGCTGGGAAAACTGGCTAGCCATATGTAGAAAGCTGAAACTGGATCCCTTCCTTACACCTTATACAAAAATCAATTCAAGATGGATTAAAGATTTAAACGTTAGACCTAAAACCATAAAAACCCTAGAAGAAAACCTAGGCATTACCATTCAGGACATAGGCATGGGCAAGGACTTCATGTCCAAAACACCAAAAGCCATGGCAACAAAAGACAAAATTGACAAATGGGATCTAATTAAACTAAAGAGCTTCTGCACAGCAAAAGAAACTACCATCAGAGTGAACAGGCAACCTACAAAATGGGAGAAAATTTTCACAACCTACTCATCTGACAAGGGCTAATATCCAGAATCTACAATGAACTCCAACAAATTTACAAGAAAAAAACAAACAACCCCATCAAAAAGTGGGTGAAGGACATGAACAGCCACTTCTCAAAAGAAGACATTTCTGCAGCCAAAAGACACATGAAAAAATGCTCATCATCACTGGCCATCAGAGAAATGCATATCAAAACCACTATGAGATACCATTTCACGCCAGTTAGAATAGCAATCATTAAAAAGTCAGGAAACAACAGGTGCTGGAGAGGATGTGGAGAAATAGGAACACTTTTACACTGTTGGTGGGACTGTAAACTAGTTCAACCATTGTGGAAGTCAGTGTGGGATTCCTCAGGGATCTAGAACTAGAAATACCATTTGACCCAGCCATCCCATTACTGGGTATATACCCAAATGACTATAAATCATGCTGCTATAAAGACACATGCACACGTATGTTTATTGCGGCATTATTCACAATAGCAAAGACTTGGAACCAACCCAAATGTCCAACAATGATAGACTGGATTAAGAAAATGTGGCACATATACACCATGGAATACTATGCAGCCATAAAAAATGATGAGTTCATGTCCTTTGTAGGGACATGGATGAAATTGGAAATCATCATTCTCAGTAAACTATCGCAAGAACAAAAAACCAAACACCGCATATTCTCACTCATAGGTGGGAATTGAACAGTGAGATCACATGGACACAGGAAGGGGAATATCACACTCTGGGGACTGTGGTGGGGTGGGGGGAGGGGGGAGGGATAGCCTTGGGAGATATACCTAATGCTAGATGACGAGTTAGTGGGTGCAGCGCACCAGCATGGCACATGTATACATATGTAACTAACCTGCACAATGTGCACATGTACCCTAAAACTTAAAGTATAATAAAAAAAAAAAGAAATATTCTGATTTAACTTCAAAAATACGTATCTCTAATTTTTCATGCTATTTTATTTTATAACTCTAGATAATACTCTTTAATGTATTCTATTGAATGGAGTTACCTTATAGGTAAGAGTGTTTTATTATGAAGTTTTATTAGTTTCTCATAAATAGTAGTTAGTGGTTTAAGTTTGTCCAAGAAATATGCTTCTTATTCCAAATTCTGCCTGAAGCCAATAATACTAAGGCAAATTTCCAATATACTTTTTTTGTCTTTTCTAAAGGTTAATGGTCTAGTTTCTGAAATAACTATTTAGGAAATGTTAACTTTACGCTATTTCAAAATACTTTCCAAAAATCTGCCCTGAAATAACCTCTTGCCATTTTTATACATTATCTGAGAAAAAAAAATTTTTAAATGCTAAGATTCCCATGGTAGGTCTTGCAAATGACAAGAAAATACATTAAACATATATTACCAAACCAGCTAAAGGAAAGTTTGGTGCTTTTTTCTTTGTTTGTTTTGTTTTGCTACTTTGGCATACACGTGACTATTTTTTTTAAGTACAGAAAGCTAAAAATAACCATCAGTGTACAGAGTCAACATTTTTGCTTTGGTATTTATGCCGGAAGAAAATAAGATCACTCAGAAAACAGAAACTCTCGGATAGGTAATGTGGAGCCTATGATTTGACTGGTGAATATAGCAATGCAAAAGTGCAAAACTGAGAGAACTGGTGACCCAGGGCTGGGTAGACAACGAATTCGAGATTTGTGTTCTTTGAAAATTCAATTTAAAAAGATGAGTGGGTAGTGATCTTTTCACAATGTTTCAGAGATTCAGAATATTAAGACAAAATTTCACCTTGAGGAAAAGTTTAAATTTTTAAGACACGTTAGCTTTAAAATATGGGAGCAAAGAGACAAAGGTTTTAACAATAACAGCTAACTACCTTTTTCTCTACTGCAGACAATTCATCGTCTTCAGACATTTTCTGTCCCATTCCAACAGTTACATTTATTAGGCTCTACCCATCTTCTCAACACAAAAAATAGGAATATACATATTTTGTCATTTTTTCTCAAAATATTATTGCTTATGTAATGTGTAATGTTCTCAAAAAGAACAAGTAATACAAGACTGACAAGCAATATTTGTTAAGTCAGTGCTTTTCAAATTGTTCTAGTCCATGTCTCATTTGGAAAACAGCAAAAATTAAAAATAATAAAACCTATTCATCTCTTATAAAGTTCTGTGAAATTTCTAATTAGAATAACTATTTGGACTACAAATGAATAAAAGGAAATGAATGGCAGAATGTATCTTTTATAAGTGGGCGTGTAAACATGGCTAATAAGTATGAAAAAATGTCTTAAAAATTTGGTTATGGAGTGTAGGAGGGAGAGAAGGTCATAACTGAAGTAATGCAAGATAAAGAGAGGGTTATTTAAGAGGAAATAGACAAGATAGTGTATTAATAATGGATTTGACATATAGAGAATCTGAAAATACTATAGAAAAAAAAAAAATAAGGCAAAACACCCAGGAGGAAATGTTACAGAAAAGTGGTGGTGAGCTCTGTCTTCATTCTTGCTAAAAGGGAACAGAAATTACAGATGCAGTTGCAGATGAATTTGCATGCAAAAAGTTAATGTCACTTTCATTGATTATATTACTTCTATAAAGTTGAATTACATGTTAAAGAAAACGGAAACTGGAAATTTAAAAATAGTGATATAGACAGAAGTTTTCTTCTTTTTTGGATATCACCAAAAATTAACAAAAAGTTATAAAAAACAAAAATAAAAGTCAATTTTTGACTAATCATGGAGATATTTATAAACCCAAGCCATACAAGAAGAAAGAATTATAATTTTAGCCAAAGTAAAATGGTAAATAGAAAGACATTAAGTTCCTATAGTGGATTGCGTAGTGGACCCCAAAACAATATGTCTATCCAGGACCTCTAAATAGGATCTTATTTGGAAAAAATGGTCTTTGTATTAATTAAGTTGAAGATCCTGGTTTGGGGCTGAGTGTTTAATCCAAATGACAGTTATCCTTTTAAGAGAAGAAAAGGGGAAAAGGCCATGTGTGGACACCCATGTAAAGATGAAAGCTGAGATTGAAGTTATGATGCCACAGGCCAGGAGCCACCAGATGCTTGAAGAGCCAAGGTAGAATTCTCCCTAAGAGCTTTCAAAGGAAGGATGACCCTGACAATACCTTTACGTCAAACTTCTGGCCTGCAAAACTGATTTCTGTTGATTTTAGCTACTAGTTTGTAGTAATTTGTTATAATCCTCTAGAAAACTAATACAAATCTATTTGACTTTAACATTTGAGAAAATTATTCAGATCACATTCTTCAAAGGCCCGCTCTGTGAACAATTCAACAATCAGACAATAATTTAGAAATCTGTGTGGACAGTAAGACCTTAGAGGAACAGCTTTGGAATAAAGCCTCAAGACTCGTAAAATACAGGAATGAAAAAAGAGTCACAAACACAAGTCATATTTGCAGGAAACATTCTCAAACTTTGTGAAGTGAGCACCTTAATAAAAACAGAAAATGCAAAGTATAGTTAAAAAATCTCAGGGGAGTCATGGTGAGAATTCAAGAACAGTGAAATATGACAGGTGTATTAGTCTGCTTTCATACTGCTATAAAGAACTGCTCAACACTGGGTAATTTATAAAGAAAAGAGATTTAATTGACTCACAGATCTGCATAGCTTGGGAGGCCTCAGGAAACTTACAATCATGGTGTAAGGCAAAGGGGAAGCAAGGTACCTTCTTCACAAGGCAGCAGGAAGGAGAAGTGCTGAGCGAAGCAGGGAAGAGTCCCTTATAAAACCATCAGATCTCATGAGAGCTCACTCACTATCATGAGAACAGCATGGGGGGAAACTGCCCCCATGATGGAATGACCTCCACCTGGTCTCTCCTTTGAAACATGTGGATTATGGGGATACAATTCAAAATGAGGTTTGGCTGGGGACACAAAGCCTAACCATATCAACAGGCAAAGCACAGGAAGAAAACCCATAAAAATACAAACATACATCCAAACATGCAGAAAACCATCAGGGAAATGAACTCTCATTGGATTTAGCAACTAAAGAATTAAACACTGCTGAAGACACAGAATCTGACATGGATGATAGGATTTAGAAGTAAAGGTGATAAATGATAAAGTATAGGTGAAAAGAGGTCAAAAAGAGAACGATGAATGATGGGAAAGGCAAATGATACGTTTCACAAAATTGGGGTTCCAAAAGAATATAAATTGATTACTAGAAAAGAAAACAATAAAACTGTCTTAGGATATAATAAAGTTAAACTTTCCAAAATAAAATAATACAATATATATAAAACTTTCTCCAAAAAATGAAACTTTCCAAAAATATATATAATGTATTGATTAAGAAAAGACACCTATCCAGGAAACCCTGACACAGTACAATCAATATATAAATGCTGAACTATATTAGGATTCTTAAGAGACACAGGACCAATAGGAGACAAACATGTATATATACAAATACAGGCAGAGATTTTTTAAATGAAGAATTGGTTTATACGATTATGGAGACAAAGAAGTCTCATGATCTGCTATCTGTAACCTGAAGACTCAAGAAAGCCAGTGGTATAATTTCAGTCCAAGTCTCAAACACCTGAGAACCACAGGAGTTGATTTCCCAGTCCAGGGCAGGAGAAGACCAGTATCCCAACTCAAGCAAGCAAGCAGGAAACAAAAAGGGTAAATTTGTCTTTCCTCTACTTTTTGTTTTACTCAGATCCTAAAAATATTGAGTGATGCCCATAACATTGGGGAGGGCAATCTGCTGTACTGAGTCCATGGAATCAAATGCTTATTTCATCCAGTAACACCTATACAAGCACACCAAGAAATAATGTTTTATTTAGGCACTCCATGACAGAGTCAAGTTGACACATAAAATTAACAATTGCACTGAAATACATTCTGGTAGACTTTACTGTGCCGTGAATGAATTACAAGGAAATAATCTTTAAGGGATGAAGGCAAAAAAGAATCAAATTATCTGTAGAGGAAATAAAGTTATTCCAGGCTCACAGTTTGTCATAGCATCATTTAACACTGAAATAGGAAAAGACGGAGAATTGGAAAATAAAAGTAAAAATATTGAATTATATTTAATGCCATTGTTTATATAGACATTGCCTAAAGAAAGAGAATTGAATTCGTTATATAGTTAGAATTATAAATGTGTAAATGAAACATTTTATAATATAAGAAAAATAAAACTAAATTATATCAAAAATCATAAAAAGAAATCGTAAATAGGGTAACCTAAACAGAGAGTTTGACCAACTAGTATACATCAAAACATATATCATACCATTAAATGTAAATAGACTATACTTGTTTATTCAAAAAATAAAATTATCAGGTTGGACAACAGAACAAAACATGAGAACATTATTACCACAAAGATATTTATATTGGCTAAAATTAATAAATAGGCAAAGGCATACCAGACACTTATCGATGCACCAAAAACATAGCATAACATTAACAGAGCAAAATCCACAAGGAAAAAACAAAGAGAAATAGATAGAAACACAATAGTATTAGCCAATTTTAAGAGCTATTCACTCCTCAATGTATAACAGAAACGAAAGACCAAAAATTAGCATAAAACACTAAATAATATAATTTTAAATATAATATGAACATTATTACATATTTTTTACTAAATGTTCGTGTGTATGTGTGTATGTATATATGTGTGTGTGTATATTTATATACACACACACAAATATGGGGGCATATTTCTAAAAGCTAAGAGAACAAATTATTTTCAAATTCCTAAATAATATTAACAAATTGACCACATACTGGGCCTCAAAAAACAGCTTAATAAATTCCAAAGAGTTAATATAATCCCAATACCATAAAACAGAAATTAATAACAAGAAAGAGTAATAATCTTTCCACATTAAGAGAGAAATTTTACATTCTCTTTTGGAGAAAAGAGGAAGTCAAACCAAAATTAGAAATGATTTAGAAAATTACGCCAATTGAAACATACATTTCTGAAAGTATAACAGCTTAAACAAAGCACAGACAAAACATAATATATAATATCAAAACACTATGCATCCAATTTTAAATGTTTGAAAAAGAACAAATGTAATTAAAGAAGTAGAAATAAACATAAAAACAAAAATTAATTAAGCATAAATTGTTAAATGTTAGAATCAATAAATAAATCCTATTGCTCTTTCATTTTCTTTTGGGACCCCAATTTTGCAAAATGTTATATCATTTGCCTTTCCTATCATTCACTGTGCTTATTTTATTCATGAGTAACATGAATAAAGAGGACAAACAATAATATAACCTTTTCAATGCCAATAAAGTAATAACTATAGACATTGGTAGAATTGGGAAAATTGATAGAATTCTTAAAAAAAAAAGTGTCCAAATCTTTGCATTCCTGAGAATAGGTATAAAATTGCATTTCTGTCTTTATTTTTTTGGAAAATACAAACTACCAAACTGACTCCAGAAAGTGGGTTTGGAATACTACACAGATCATTTACCATTCAGGAGATAAAGTCTAACAGCTATTGCCCAGATGGTTTCGCAAGGGAATTCTTCCAAAACATCAAGTGACAGATAACTGCAATTAAATTTCAATTGTTCAGAGTATAGAAAAAAGGAAAAATTTTCGTAATTCTTTTAGAATATGTATATCATATGATCCCCAAATCCCATTAAAGGTAAATGCACACACATGCACATACGCACACACAAAACAAGCATGGAACCCCTTGTTCAAGCACATTAAGATAAAAACATCTTTAACTAGGTAAAAATTAGCTGTTTATTTAATAAATAGCAAAGCAATTGGAGTTTATTCCTGGAAAAATGTTAGTGTGGTTAAATATTAGGATAGCTATAAAAATAAATCAATATATTTAGCAAGTCAAATGAGATTGTCATATAAATCTCACTAGATGTAAGAAAATTTAATAATATTCAACATCTATTCTTGATTTTAAAATCATAATAAAATAAAATAGTTTTGACATGACTATATTTATATACATGAAAAATAGCATGTATATGCTAATTGAGAAATCATTAGAACATTCTCTTTAACATCAATAATAATGGAACAAAATGTGCTATTAATATTATTAATATAAATTATTCTAGATTAACCAATGAAATTGTGGAATAGATTGAGGAATAAATTTAGAAACAAAAATTAGAAAGGAGAATTTTAAATGACTAACTTTTGAAAATAATATATTTTTCTCCTTAGCAAATCCAGAAGGATCAGTTTTATTTATTTATTTATTTTTTTTTTAAGACAGAGCCTTGCTCTGTCACCCAGGCTGGAGTGCAGTGGCACAATCTCAGCTCACTGCAACCTCTGCCTCCCAGGGTCAAGCAATTCTCCTGCCTCAGCCTCCAGAGTAGCTGGGATTACAAGCGTGTGCCACTACGCCTGGCTAATTATTTTTAATAGAGATGGGGTTCCACCATGTTGGTCAGGCTGATCTCAAACTGCTGACCTCAAATGATCCACCCACCTCAGTCTCCCAAAGTGCTGGGATTACATGCATCAGCCCCAGCACCCGGCCTAGAAGGATCAATTTGAGGACCATTATAAATAATAAGAAAAATCAGTTACAGGACATAGTACTAAATTAATATATAGCAATAAAGGAGATTCTCATATGAACAATAACTAGGTACAAGACTAAAACATCAAAAGATAGGATACAAAACTTAACCAGAAACCTACAATCTTCTGTGACAAAACTGTAGATGCCACTGAGGAACACAAAAGAAGGATTTAACACAAGGAAAATACACTCTTGCAATAGTAAATGCAACACCATAAGAATCTCAGTTCTTCCTCAAATTAATCTATAAATTTAATGTAATCCCAGTTTAAAATACCAACAGTATGTTTTTTGGAAAAGTAGACAAACTGATTCCAAAAGTTATAATAAGAATAAAATAGCCAGAAATGTCCTAAAAATAGATATACAAGAGAAAGGGAGAGAATTATGTTTCTCTAATTGTTTTATTTTTAAACTTCAAATAATTAAACCAGCCTGACACTGAATAGAAAGGCAAATTATTTACCGTTAAGCACTACAGCATTTATCTTTTACTTTAATATTAGTTGCTTTATTTTTTAAAATCTGAAACTGTTACCAGAAAGGGGTCCAGAGCCAGATCCTCAAGAGAGGGTTCTTGGATATTGTGCAGGAAAGAATTCGAGGTGAGTCCACAGAACAAAGTGAAAACAAGTTTATTAAGAAAGTAAAAGAATAAAGAATGGCTACTCCATAGACCCACTTTTACTGCTATTTCTTGATTATGTGCTAAATAAGGGGTGGATTATTCATGCCTCCCCTTTTAAGAACATATAGGGTAACTTCCTGACATTGCCATGGTATTTGTTTTTTTGTCGTCATTGTTGGGTTTTTTTGTTTTTGAGACAGAGTCTTGCTCTGTCACCCAGACTGGAGTGCAGTGGTGCAATCTCGGGCCACTGCAACCTCCACCTCCCAGGTTCAAGTCATACTCCTGCTTCAGCCTCCCAAGTAGCTGAGACTACAGGTGTGCACCACCATGTCGGGCTAATTTTTGTATTTTTAGCAGAGACGGGGTTTCACCATGTTGGTCAGCCTTTTCTTGAACTCCTGACCTCAAGTGATCCACCTGCCTTGGCCTTCCAAAGTGCTGGGATTAGAGGTGTGAGCAACCATGCTGGGCCAGCATTTGTAAACTGTCACGGCACTGGTGAGAATGTAGCAGTGAGGGAGACCAGAAGTCACTCTTGCCGTTATCTTGGTTTTGGTGGCTTTTGGCCAGCTTCTTTATTGCAGCCTGTTTTTTCATCAAGGTTTTTATGACCTGTATCTAGACACTTAGAATGCCTTAACCTCCTGGGAATGCAGCTCAACCTTATTTTGCCAAGCCCCTATTCAAGGAGTTGCTCTGGTTTAAATACCTCTGACAAAACCACCCAATTGCTTAACATGATATAATTCATGTTTTAATAAAATTTTAGTAAAAAAAAATCAAATAGTAAGCATAGTTGAGAAATGCATAGAAAAAAATTTTAAAAATTGAAAGAACAATTTATCAACAGTAGCTTTTTGCTAAATGAGAAACAAATAAATGAGAAAAGTGCGAAGAGTCAAGATGTGATTAAATCATTTTCTTTCTCCCAGAAGAGGGTAATATTCAGGATATGATATTCTGAAGAGTGATTACCTTTTGAAGGCATGTTAGCAGAAAAAACAAAATTGAAAGACTCTCAGAATAAAAAATTTCTTTCAGAAAAATTGCATATTGTTGAATAAAATGAATTAATCTGAGTCACAGTTTAAACCACCTTCAAAACTATGAGCAATTAGTGAGTAGTTTTGAGTATGGATATTTTCATTGAAATTCAGCGGGTTACATATCAAATGGAGACTTTTCATGTTAAGTGAGCAAAAGGCATGCCTTCTCTTTGAACGAAATTATAGAGTTGACAGATTCCTACTGTAGAAGGCTAGGTATTCCCAAATCATTCACATTATATGGTCCTTAATCTGGGACACAAATTTTATATACAGCATGTCTTTGCTTTTGTAAGATTGGATGCATTGTAATAAAGGTTGAGAGATATGGAGGGGAAGATTGTGCTCTTTTTGTTTTGTTTTGCTTTTGCTTCTTTTTCATTTATATAGCTATGAGTCATAGGCTTTCATTAATGACTCATTGAAATGGAGAACAAGGTTTCTGCAAACATTTCTGAGCTCTCCTCATTCCAGATACACTCCCTAACAGTCTCTAGGGAGGCTTGGAGCCTAACAAATGGCATAAAGTCTTCACTGACAGGCTGGGGGTTGCTGCACATTCTAATAGCTTTAGTAGCTGTTTCATTTTTAAAATTTTGGAGCAACAATCTTGTTGCTGTTCAAAAACTTCATATGATAGTTCTGGATAAGTCTCAGATTTCTCTTCCATTGTAACTGACAATTAAATACCCCAGGAATAGTTTTGGAAAACTCTATAAGAATTATCTCTGTTGTTGCCGGACGCAGTGGCTCAAGCCTGTAATCTCAGCACTTTGGTAGGCTGAGGTGGGTGGATCACTTGAGGCCAGGAGTTCGAGACCAGCCTGGCCAACATGGCAAAACTCTTGTCTCTATGCAAAACAAAAACAAAAACAAAAAACAATAAATTAGCTGGGTTTGGTTGTGCATGCCTGTAGTCCCAGCTACTTGGGAGGCTGAGGCAGGAGAATCACTTGAACCTGGGAGGTGGAGGTTGCAGTGAGCCAAGTTTAAGCTGCACTCCAGCCTGGGTGACAGAGCAAGACTCTGTCTCCAAAAAAAAAAACCCACAAAAACAAACAAACATAAATAATTCTCTCTGTTGCATACTTCACATGTATTTCTCCCTCTCTGTCTCAATCTGAACCCAAAATAGGGTTGTTTTGTGTACCTACTTTCCCATAATATTTGCTATCCTGACAATGGATGCAGATTTCTCCCTTCTGTGACAAGCACAATTTGCGTTTCTGTCAAAATAAAACAAAAATCGTAAGGTTTTTCCTAAATATAGGAAGGCTCCTTAACTGAAGTTTGGTCTTCAATGTTCATGATAGTTTCTTCAACACTGTTTCCCTTGTCACAACTCATGGTGCAGAAGTCACACTATTTAACTCTAAGTAGACACCCTCTCTCCTAAGAATCTTAATGTTGTAAGAGAAAGAAGACGGGGTTGCAGAACTGAGTTGCTGCCAATGCAACATCATAGAGAATATACTGTTGGAGACTTTCCCTGAAGTGACTTCTGTCTAAATTAGACACAAATAGATTTGGCTGGGCATGGTGGTTCATGCCTGTAATCCCAACTACTGGGGAAGCTGATGGCAGGAGGATCCTTTCAGGCCAGGAGTTTGATACCAGCCTAGGCAACTTAATGAGACCTCATCTCTAAAAATAAAACATAAATAAATAAAATTTTTAAAAATTCAAATAGATTTTGAATTCAGTGAGAAGTCCTCATATTTTTTCTCTATTTTTGTTAATTCATTATATTTTTTAAGTTGTGAATTATTTTTCAATTTTTTCAATAGAGGTATGATTTGTATAAAATAAAATTTACATAGAAAATGCACAGATGTTAAATGTACACTTTGATGAGCTTTGACAAATGTGATGTACCACCCCCAATCAAAACAGAGAGCACTTTTTTACCTTAAACGTTTCCCTCAATCTGCTTTGCAGGCTCCATACCCCCAACCCCCACCCCCACAATCAGGGAGTCACCTTTCCAATACCTATCAGAATTTGGGAACAAGAGGTCACATTTATTTTGAAAAGATGTTGATTCTGATAATTACTATATATACTAACACATCCTTATCATATTCCACTCCCTGTCCTCACCCTCCATTCCCAGCCAATAAAGTTTACTGTGAAGGATCTGTGTAGGATTCAAATGACATTATTTTTTTCCTTATATGTTTACTTACTCATGATTGAGTACCTTAGACAGGTCAAAACTCTACTAGTCTCTGTAGAAAAAAAAAAAAAAACAGAAAATAAAAATATACTCTTCCTTCTCTCTAGGTATTGAGATTCTAATATGCAACTTAGAGAAGTAAACTGAAAATTACTGTAGAAATTATATAAATAACTTGTAGTGACATTTTGAAGGTGCTAGAACTCCTAAAGATTGCATTATAGGAACAGCGTGGCTCACCAAAATACAGTGGCCAGCATAAGCCTCCCTATGTGGTCATGTGACTGTTTCTAGACAATGAGCTATCAGTAGAAGGAACATGTGACATTTTCAGGCTGGTCCCTAATGACCTCCTAGTTGTATTTCTCCATGATCATTTCCCTTGTGCCTGGTTGGAAATGAGATCCCTCCCAAATGATGGGTCATTGATGGCAGAATCTCTAAGGTACAGGTCCCCAAAAGATCTCATGAAGGAACGTCACTCTCTCAGAAATTGTACTTTCACTTAAGACTGGCTGTTATGTGTGCAGAAAGAAACTTCTGCTATGTATGAAAAATTATTCATATTGAGTTTACTTTTTGTAACTGTTAGCCTTTCCCAACTAATACCAACAGTGACTATAACTTCTACTTTTTATATAATTTTTTTCTTTTCATCCACTTACAAATGGATAGAAAAAAATGTAAATGGTGAAATCTCAGATGGAGAAAAAGCTTGTTGTTTAATTTCCTATAACTACACCTGAGCTGATGAGCCCTTTTGTCGAAAAATGACACAAGAAAACAAAATGTTCCTATTATAAATTCTCCCATGTCCTTATCCTTACTTAGATTTCATTTTTTGTTTCGCTTGATCAATACAACAGTTCTTTGAGGGGAATAGTGTTATTCGTATTATTTCAATTGCAGTACAAATGTGGAAATCAAAGTATACACTTGTTATGTGACATGATCAGTCACACTGCCATAAAGGGTGGAACTGAAACCTTAACTTAGAAATGTTTCTAGCACTTAATCTAGAAAAAATGCCCAGAGAAAAGGGCAAATATTCCAAGTATCTGAATTGCCCTTAGAAAACTGAAAAAGAAGTAGATACATATCCTTCTTTCTGGTTCTAGTTGTTCTTGATTTCCAATTCCTCCTGCTGGCAGGGAACACCGAATGCTGTCAATTAATGTTATTCTAGTTCTCCCTGCTTTAATACTTAAGAACATTTAGGTAATAACTCAGTTTTTAATGGTAGTAATGCCGTCATATTTTTAGTCTTTCTCCCTAGGTAGCATATGGGTTCAAGATGAAGCACACAGTCATTCACATATTCAACAGAGTTGTTAAGCATCTGTAATGGTCAAGGGATGCACTGGTAAGCAAAGCAGGGCCTCGGGTCATGTCTCTGTCCTTCTACTGCTCATTACACCTAATGGGAAGTGTCCACCTGTACTGGTATGATGGTGTGGACCTGGCCTGTCATGACAGTCATGGACTGGTACTGCAGGCTTTGCTCTTCCTCTCTTTTTTGTCTGTTTTGTTCATCAATGTATCACAGCACACCTAGAACAGTGTCTCAGGCATAGTAAGTGCACAATAATTACTTATTGAACAAAGGAATGATTACATACTGCCCTTCTACTAAGATGCCACCCAAGGAGAAAACGAGGACAAAGGCATGGGAGAAAAAGCAGTGAGTGGACTGAGTCAGTGGGGCAGCTGGTCCTCAGTAGCTGTCTCCCATAGAGACACTTTGCTCATTACCATCTCATGTATTTGCCACCCAAAACTCTCAACAAATACCAAAAGTTTGTAGAGGAAGCTCACAAAATCCACAATGACAGCCTCCGGGCATGAGTTTGCAGAAGAAATACAAATCACAAAGCAGGGACTGGCAAAACATTTTTCTGGTTAGAATTCATAAAACATTATTAGTTGCATATTTGGGATTTATTACATTGTATGTAACAAGATTTACTGGCAGTTTTGTAGATAATTTCGAACCTAAAGCACTGTCTAAAACAAAGGCCTACTTCCAAAGGAAAGGTCTATGCTTCTTATGTCTAGAATATTCTGTGGTTAGCTATTCTAAGCTGTAGAATGTACCTTTTAATAAAACAGGAATGTACATGGGGTTTTAGAAAGCCTGACTTCATTTAGATAAAAGCATTTTGAAATATAACAGGGCTTATAGTATCAACCCCTCCCCCATTTCAGCAAGGAATAAAGTCTGAGTTTCTCATAGGCCACACATCCATCCAAAGGCACTGAGGAGCAAGATGTTTCCCAGAGGCAAACACCTTGGCACCACTTCCTTCCATGTCTGCTCTCCTGTGCCATGAGGGTCAGGGAAACAGAAATTATCATTTTCAAAGTCTTGTTCTGTAATTTATTCTAGAGATCATTGGCAGTGGGAATAAAAAATATACTAACATCTGATTTTACCCTTCTCAATTTACTCACCCCTAGGGCTTTATACTCCCAACAATTAGCTAAGTTATCATTCTATTCTGTGGCAAGGGGCCTTTCTTATTCACTATGCTGTTTTCTTCCTGCATTTCACTTTGATTTACAGTAAAATTCCATCCTCACCATTCCAACCCTTAATACATAAAGATAAGTGTTTTACATTAAAAAAATGATTTCCTCCCTCAATAAGCCACGTTTTCTACACTAGTTTCTTTCTAGGCACTTGAAAACATTTAATTTAAAACTTAGACAAAAAAGAAATGACCCTTTGTTCTTGATTGCATGAATTTACCTTCTCATTAAACCAATGAATCATGGGAGCAAGGTTTATTGAGAACAAAATGTATTAGCTTTATATATCAAAATTATGATCCCTATCATATCAATAACAAAGAAAAGACATAAGAAAAAAATATAAAATCTAGGTGGTTATATGACGAACTCTATACATGTGAAAATTTGGAGAGGAGTGCTATAAAATGTGGACAGTAGCATGAATTATCAAGGAAGAATACCATTAAATAAATAAATTGAAGAGATAAAATCAGAGAAAGCAAACAAGAATTAGGAGCATCTTGCAGAAGTCATAAAAGGAAATAGAAATCTATTATTTTAAAGTGCCAGAGTAGGATGTGTTATTGCAATTTTAAAAGTCAGAAAGTGTGTAAATTTTGGTAGCAATTTTTGTGATGCTAGCTCCTCATAAAATGTGTTTAACAGTGCTACAAGTTGTATATGCTAGCATATAATAAAAATATAATAAATTAATAAGGAATATACACTACCACTTCTACATCTATTATATAGTGTCTACCTATTTAATTATTTTTTGGGGTTAGATTATATTAAAGGTCCCCATTTTTTCTGGTAGTAAGAGTGTATATACTTGACTATGACCTCAATTACACAGATAAAGAATGAAACCACAATTTAGGCAATACAATATTTTCAATTTCCGTGTAAATATCATTTAATTATCTCAGAAACAGTGACTAGGTTTATTCTAGGAACTTAACTGAACCAGATGATACTTCAGTGGCCCAAATAGCCTAATTTATCAAATTAAAACTTCATTTTATGTAGCATACAGTATTATTGCTATCATTCACAGAGAAATCCTAATATTATAAATGATTACAATCAGTATGGCATCTTACACTTTCACAACCTAAAACAGCTTATAAATGTAAAGGTGGCTTTACTTTGGGCATTCAACCTGCAATTAAGGAATTTAAATGTGCTGTTCTTTTGAAATGCCTGCACTATTTTTATTCTTCTTTAAACTGACATAAATCTTTAAGACTTTCATATGGTTGGATTTCTTTTCTTTTTTTTTTTTCTGAGATGGAGTCTCACTGTGTTGCTCAGGCTGGCGTGCAGTGGATCGATCTCAGCTCACTGCAACCTCTTCCTCTCGGGTTCAAGCAATTATTTCTGCCTCAGCCTACCGGGTAGCTGGGATTACAGGCGTGCACCACCATGCCCGGCTAATTTTTGTATTTTTAGTAGAGACTTGATTTTGCCATGTTGGCCAGGCTGGTCTTGAACTCCTGACCTCAAATGATCTGCCTGGCTTGGCCTCCCAAAGTGCTGGGATTACAGGCGTGAGCCACCGTGCCCAGCATCATTTGGTTGGATTTTAATTTTTTTTGAGATGGAGTCTTACTCTGTAGCCCAGGTTGGAGTGAAGTGGTGCAATCTCAGCTCACTGCAACCTCCACCCCCCAGGTTCAAGTGACTCTCCTACCTCAGCCTCCCAAGAAGCTGAGATTACAGGTGGGTGCCACCACGCCCAGCTAATTTTTGTATTTTTAGTGGAGATGGGGTTTCACCATGTTGGCCAGGCTGGTCTCGAACTCCCGACCTCAGACCTCAGGTGATCTGCCTGTGTTTTTTTTGTTTTTTTTTGTTTTGTTTTGTTTTGTTTTTTGAGAAAGAATCTTGCTCTGTCGCACAGGCTGGAGTGCAGTGGCTCGATCTCGGCTCACTGCAACCTCCGCCTCCCGGATTCAAGTGATTCTCCTGCTTCAGCCTCCCAGGTAGCTGGGACTACAGGTGTGCACCATCTCACCCAGCTAATTTATTGTATTTTTTTTCATAGAGATGGGGTATTGCCATATTGGCCATGCTGGTCTCTAACTCCTGGCCTCAAGTGATCCACCCACCTAGGCCTCCCAAAGTGCTGGGATTACAGGCCTGAGCCACCACACTCTGCAGATTTATTTTATTTTATTTTATTTTATTTTATTTTATTTTATTTTATTTTATTTTATTTTATTTTATTTTATTTTATTCTTGAGACAGAGTCTTGCTCTGTCACCCAGGCTGAAGTGTAGTGGTGCAATCTCGGCTCCCTGCAACCTCTGCCTCCTGGGTTCAAGTGATTCTTCTGCCTCAGTCCCCCGAGTAGCTGGGACTACAGGCGTGCACCACCATGCATGGCTAATTTTTGTACTTTTAGTAGAGATGGGGTTTCACCATATTTGCCAGGCTGGTCTCAAACTCCTGACTACCCGCCTCAGCCTCCCAAAGTGCTGGGATTACAGGTGTGAGCCACCACAACCAGCCCAGATTTTAATTTTTAAACAGCAACATGTGTTGCTTATTCAGAGTTCAGTATATCCTTAATTTTTGAAGTCACTGAAGAAGTTACATTTATGAAAATCAGCTTAGTTTTTTTGTTTCGTTCTTGTGATGATACATTATCCAGATATACTGAAATGGAACAGAAATGTCAAAACATGTAAGACAGTCTTGGGACAGTTCTATTAGTTTCTGCCATGTTGAAAGCTGCCCTGTCAGACAATGCATTTTTCACCCATACAAGTAATCCAGTAAAATATTGCTTATTTTTAAAATAGATCTACAATCTTTAAATTTTAAAGTGTCAATGTTTCAAATTGATCTTTGAATATTTTCTGATCACCAGTATCAAAAGAATGAAACAAGAAAACTAAGCTGAATTTCATAAATGCGACTTCTTCAGTGACTTCAATAAGACAATAACTTAATAACTCACTCATCTTTACCTTAATAGTTATCTATTGGTAAGTGGCAAGTTTAAATATTTGTGACAGAAAGAACAATAATTTAAATGATTAACAATGTTATAAGCCCCATCTGCTAAGATCAATAAGTAAATCAATGAGCAATTAATAACAATGTTAATAACTTACAAGAATTTGAAGAAAGCTAATTCTCATCTTTCTATAAACAAGCATTTAAGGAGGATTTGTTAAGCAATAGATTCAGTTTTGAGTTACATTTTTTGAAGATAATTTCCTTAATATATGATTATCATTGAAGAACATTTCAAATAATCCAGTAGAACTAAAGGGATTAAAAATAATAAGTGGAGGAAAGAATGTTTAAGTGCTTTTTTGTTGTTTCAATCTGAGGAAGGGTAGGGTATCAAAAAAGAGGTGATACAAACTTGATGAGAGATTAGGTTGCTATGATAGCATCAGACATCCCAGCTTTCACTAAAAGGATGTTACTTGGTGAAAGGAACAGAAGCAAAAAGCTGAAATCTTGCACTTATATTCTCTTAATCTGTGGACATGGGAAGCAATAATAAATGGAGAAGGCTGGAGAAACAAGGGAATTTGAGACATGAAATTCTTGGAATATGGACAATATACAAAAGTTTTGTGTTGAATGAAATATTGCATTTTATTTATTTCACATTATTCAAAATAGCGGTTTTCAGCATAGCTTCCCATATTACTGCTGGTGCTTTAAATTAAGAACAGTGAGGATATAAAAGTCTTTTTCTTAATGGTAATATATACTGAAAGGAAGTGAAGTTGAAAGGCAGAATGCATTTAAATATGGTTAGCGTTTGTGTGTGTAATCTACTGAAAAATATACTGAAATTTCACTTGTAATTGCAATCTCTCCTATAAAGGAAAATGTGCCTGTTGAAAGAGGTAATATATTCTATTTAATGTGGTACTCATTTGAGAATTCAAATATCTGAATTTTAGTCACTTTTCAGTTACTTAACTTTCCCAGTGTTTCAATTCCTGACTAGCAAGCCAGGGACGATAATATTCTTGCCTCCTGGAAACATTGTAAGGATACCTTTTTATCCTGCACAATTTAATACAAAATGTCCTAAGAAAGTATTTTTTTTTGTTGTAATTTGAAAAATATTCAAGCAATTATTGCTTGCTTACTCTTTTTTCTTTATTCCCCAAATGCATTTAACTTATTTAGCTGGAATATGGCTTACTACTTTCATTCCCATTACAAGTCTCAAACTCATTCCTTTTCCATTGTGTTTTTCTTGTTCGCCCAGCCAACTGAATGCTGCCTGTTTATTATTTGAAACTCAACACTGAATCACCCGCTCAGGAAGGGCCTGCTGCATGCCAAGCTTTTGAACAAATATGTAGGAACAGGACTCTGACTTATAGACAGTTCCTTAGCTTTACTTTAATTTTTCTTTTATTTTCACTGACAGAAAAATTTTCTGGAGAGTACAATCAAGATAGTGTATTATTAGAAATAACATTAATAGAAGCTTGGTCAGAAATGATAATAGTCATAATAAGCATCTCTCTCACCAAGGCATTCCACACAGAGAGATCACAGCACAATAAATAAAGGATTTCTCATTTGCCACACAACAAATAAAACAATTGCAGTAACAAAAATATGATTTTATAAATGTTCTTATACTAAAAATAAAAGCAAAAATATGAGATCATGCACTGGAGACAAAAGCTAAAAATGAATAGTTATAACAAAGAAAGACAATATTCCAAAAGATTAAAATGTTCAAGTATTGTGAGAGGAAAGGGGAGATTCAAAATAGAATGGGTTCAGAATAAGTCAATTATATTTACTACCTTAGGAGAGACACTGACACAACTGTTTTTATCCAGTAATATTTTATGCCATTAGAACACATACTGTTATCCATTTAAAGGACAGATTCCATTTCCTTGGAGCATGTTTCATACTACAAGGATGGAATAAAATTTATTGTTTACCATAATTATAAGTAGATAATAATATTGTGAGAGAAATATTCTCCGGAACAGGCCAGTGTGATGGCCTGGAATAGTAGGGGCCTGGGAGTCAGGAAACATTGACTTTAATTCTGTTTTCATCATTGTCTATAAAAAGTTCATTTGAGATAGTCATCTAATAAATAACCTTCAAGATATTTCTCAGTCCTGAAATAAACTTTCACTTTATCTTTCGATTTTCCTATAAGAGTTCAACTATTGGGGCTAGTAGAAAGTAGAGAAAATAACAATAAAATAGCTTAACAATTTTAATGATTCTTAATTTCTAAAAAGTTATTGAAAAAAAGTGGGATCACTTAATGGAATTAAGAATTGTATAATGCTTCAGTGGGGTTGTTCATACAACATAATAATTCTTCCCCAACAAAACTAATCTAAGCAGTGCCTTTACACTTTGTGGTTGAATAGTGTATCAGATTTGAACAGTGGCTAGTTTCTACACGACTAGGAAAAACATGTCTGTCATGGGAGTAAAAAAATAAAATTTGTTTGTTAAATTACACATAAATATAAGGTACAAATGTATTTTTAAAATACAGATTAAAATAATCACACTTGCATTGTGTACATACGAAAATACAGTATTTAATATTCAATATACACAGACACATTTATGATAAATGCAACTATTTGGCAATGCCAGTTCTTTCAGGGTTTTTTGTTGTTGTTGTTGTTCCCTATTTCCATATACATGGAAACAAAAATGCTTCGCTAAAATCTCCTAGCTCTGGCGGACATCTTGAAGCAGTTTGTTAATCTCTGCCACCAGTTCACTGGCATCCATGAGTTCGTGTTTCCCATCATTGAGGTGGTTGAGCACATTGTCAAAATCATCTTCCTCATAATTTTCAGGGATCTCCTCCATGGCTGGCAGCCATTTTGAAGAAGGCTGCACACTGGAGTGAGTTCCAAGTGGCGGCCCACAGTTGGTGGTGGGATTTTGAAAATGCGTACTGGCTGCCCATGCCGCTACCCCCTGTGGGTAACCCACAGTTTTGGCTGGCAAGGGTCCCTTCCTGCGCTCCAGGGAGTTGGACCGATCCACCTCACTGCATTCAGAATAGGTGTCCAGGGAAGGCGGTAAGAGACGCTGGAACACACTGCTCATTTCCGAGAGCAGAGATGATGTGCTGGTATCCCCAGTGTCCTCATCGTTTGGGGAGTCCTTTCCAAAGGTGGAAAAACTCTTCTTCTTTTCACCGGAATCTGCAGGCTGAGCGTCATCCTCAAGACTCTGATGTGGATGCTGCTGCTGGGGTTGCGTTGGGAATTCTTCCCCTGGAATGAACATGTTACTCCTATAATCAGAAGACGGTGAGGGCAGTGGTGGCATCCAGCACTGGTCAGAGTGTCCCAGGACCCTGCACTCCTCCGTGCAGAGTCTCATAGCTGCACTCAAGAAAAACAGTGGGGATTCATTATTATACTTAGCACGATTCAAAATGATGCAAAAATGCAATTTTATAATAAAAATAGAATGAGACAATTTTAAACTATTTCCATGATGCCAACCTATTATTATACACAAAAGCTGGACTACAATTATGGCTTTAATTTGAACACTGGTTTTATAGACCTCCATAAGTGTTATCTTCTGGTGTGCTTTTTTTTCCTTATTGATCAGGTAAGAATATTCTGCTACTTGAATAATGATAAGATGGGTTGATAAAGTATACGTGGGAAGAACTAGGTGTGAGTGATGAAATAAGTGCTGAACATAAATTCTAAAGAACAGACTTGTAAGGTGAAACCTATAACTTTAGAATGCCACCCATTAATTCTTGTGTAATACATACCTTTGTGTAACTTTCTCAATATTACTTTAGTTTTAATGGAAGCAATGAGAATATAATAAGCTATAAGGTAATTATACTTATTAATCTCTCTTAAAGATATTACAAATTATTTATTGACTTGTTACTTAACACAGCAGTGAAAAGTATCCTCAGCTACTGGATGGCCATCTGCAATTACCCTGTTAAGAAGTTTTCTTTTAAAGATTCAAAATATATTTATATTCAAATATGTGAAAAATGTCATCAAAAGATGAAGAATATGAAAAATCCATTCCTTAGGTCTTACAGATGTTCTAATGCTCTTATGGGAATATGAGTGGCCACAGTCATAGGAAAAAAAATAGATGATATGAGAAAAGCAGGAAAATAAAGAGGAAAAAACCCCTCTACATTTGGCAAATACAATAACTAAGCTGCATGACAAGGAAATGAAAAGATGTAAAATACACTCTACAAACCATTGACTTATTTCAGTGAGAAATAAGGCTGTTCAGTATTATGATTTCATTTTAGAGCAAAGAGCAGAATGCAGAAAATGCAAAATAATTCTCTTAGATTTAAAAGAACATTAGGTTGTTACTAGCTATACTTATATATTAAGAGCTAATTTTGTAGATCCATCTACTTTAGGAAGATTCCTCTTCCTCCCAAATTATTGCTAAAAAGGTGACTCTTGAAGGATGCCCATTCCCTTATTAGAGGAAACAAGTTGTCTATTGCAGTTACTGCGGTGTCACTAGCAACTGGTAAAGTGCCTGCATACAGTAGGTATTCACTACATGTTTTCTAAATAAAACATGGAGAAAATAATGTTGACTTTCTGAAAAAAAAGAAGTAATGGTCTTTGATTGAAGGCGTAGAAATTGCTGCTTTTCTCTGCTTGAATCTTTGAGATAATTCTGTTCTTAAACTGCAAGAGTCCCAAATATGGACCTCAAGTTTTAATGAAAAGGAGGATAATTTGAGGAATAAAATGAGATCAAGTATTATGAGTGAGAAAAAAGCTGAATCACTAGAAAACTAGAAATACAATGAAGCAGAAAAAAAGTGGAGAAAGTGTCAACACCAATTCCATGTGAATCAAGGTGGGGAAAGAGAAAGAGCGTAAGCATGAAGAAAAATTGTGCAATTTGTTATGAAAGGTTACATTTAAATAAGCAAGAATGATTTAAGAATAAAAGCTTTTTTAGATTTCCTGACTTCATGCAGTATTACTACTTGGAAATGTTTACCAACTTTTTTTTTTTTAATTTGATGTGGATGAAACAAAAGGGGTTGAAAGTAATTGGAATAACTTAATAGCAATGAGGTTTTCTCAGCAGCAAAATAACAATCATAGTGGTAATGATTTTTTTTTTCCTTCTTAATTCCGCAGGTCTCTGAAAATGGAACTTAGACCTGTCTCTATTGTCTTACTCATATCCTGTCAGAAGGAAGAAGAACAGACCTGCTGACACCTCTTCATTTATTTCATTTAACTCTGTAGTTTTAGGCTTGGGAAGGACTTAGTTGTTTGATTCACTTTAGTTTAATGCTTAATGATTGGAGGGAAAGGAAAGGCTTGTAAGAATACTGAAAATGACCTAGTTTTCTAAAGACCTAAATATAATAAACATATAACCAACAATACAATGCAAAAATACAATCTAGGTAACTAATGCAATCTGAAAGTTCATGCTCAAAAATAAGTTTGGTCATAGAAATTTTTTAAACAGTGAATGTTATTTGCAACTTCATCCCAATAAATAAGTGAAGCTTTAATTATAAAATAATAAATTAACTTAAAAATGAAAAGTAATAAGAAAAATTGATGAGAAAAGACTAATGGAGGGAAGGATGGCAAAAATAAGAGAAATGGAAGAGTAACGGTGCAGAAGAGGGCATTTCTTGCAACCTCATTGATATTGTCAACCTTGTCCCCAGGGACTTGACTGAAAACATTCTCAATCTGTAAGTAATTCAGTGCCACAAATGTTCCATACTATATCCCAGTTAGCAGGGCTTGTTGACAAGTGGTGCAAGTGGCTAATCTTTCTGTTGCTCCTTGAAAGCTCTTATAGGTAGTTAAGTGTCCTCTGGGGAGGGGGACCATGGTGAAAGGAGAGTATCTTCTTCACCACTATAAGACTATGAATTTTGTCACTGCACTGCACCTTATTGGTGGGACAGGCAGCAGATATATAAGAAGAAATACGTATGCCTTGCTTCTGTCAAGTCATCAGGTGATCAATCAGTTATCCGTTATGAGTCTGCTGCATGTGAAGTGCAACAATAGCACCCTGCCCTCAAAAGTTGTAAAAAGATATAGCTCTAAGTAAAGTGTAGCAAGTGACATCGTAAACACAGGTAAAGTGTCAAACTAGATGATGCTAAGGGCATGTCAAGAAAGGAAAAAAGAGTGGAGGTGGAAGCTGAAATAGTTAAAGAAAGAGCCACCTAAAACAAACTTTGAAAGATGAATAGGATTCAGTTACACAAAGTGATGAGAAGCCAGCTTTTCAGGTAGGAAGGACACCATGAGCAAAGCATCAGTGTATTAAGTGAGGAGATGCTTCTAGCTATAACAAAAGATACAAAGATGGCAACATATGAGAGTTAATAAGCTAAGAGGGGATTCCATTGCCCTTTGAATGCCAAGATAAATAGTTTAGTTCAATGTTGCTGGGCAACAAGAGTTAAGTATTGATTTTGAGCCAAAAAATGTGGATTAAAATGTTCTCAAAATGTTGTTCAAGCTGTATGAAAGAAAGATTTGACAAAGGGAGGAGCTACTAGACAGTGAATATCAGTTTGCACACTGACACACTAAACCTGTCATGGAAGAAAGGCCAGAACAGATGGGCTTTCGTGGATACCTGCCATGAGAAAGGACAGAACATAGAATTTAAAAAGAATATTTAAAGTAAGTAATCAGAGACGACAGACTGATGAAAAGTGGATTGGACTCAATCAAGAAAAATGAGCGTCACAAGAAACAAAATCAAACGGCTGTATAAATCATCCTGGTGAAGTGAATGCAATGGAAAATGGGGATTTTTGCAGGCATATGCTTAGTGTTATAGTTCAAAGTTGAATGAGTAAGAAAGTATGTTGGCAAACATGAGCCAACAGACAAAAAAATGCATACCAATTTGACTGCTCAAAATGCAGGATATTTGTGTGGGAATTAATAGCATGAATGACCAGAAATGACCCTGTTGGCAGGCAATGCAACATAACATAATCTATATTTGTTCAAAGTCTAAGGCAGAAAAACAGTTGGAACAAGACACTTTAGTCCTAGAAATATAAATGCTATGGAAACTGTGCTGATCTCTTTTAATGGCATTCAGATGTGGACTTACATTTTTCTCTACTTGGGATATTTTCTGGGAATATAAATTTACAAAACACAAGTTTTACACCCTATTATGCCTCCAGAAGTTGCTGGGGTAAATAATAAATTGGAATATGTGTCATCAAAATTATACTCATAAATAAGGGATAGTTATCTTTGTATAGATACACAGTATGCATATTGCAGTCTACAGTAGCCAAACATGAATATACTTTGCGGACCATTGGTGACTTCCTGGTGCTCGATACCTCCAGGATAGCTTTGACCACACCTCAGATGGAGGCAGGTACCTAGTAAGGCAGAATTGTATCTACTATAATGTATTTTGTTGTAACACAATGTTATGCACAAGCAAAATAACTCTCCAGCCACACCCATGGTTAAGTGTGATTGTGCAAATATGAGATTTTTTTTTAAAAATTGTCTCATGTTAAGTGGAATTATTAATGATGATATAAAGGTGAACTCCTAATTTTGAAAAGAAATGTGATACTGATGAAGCTTAACGTCACTCACTAAACACAATTCAGTTTTCTACAGTTTATCTATGTCTACCTATTGTTTCGCCAGTGTCTTTATTCCTTAACATCTATTATTATTATTGTAATTATTATTATTATTATTTACTCCAAGTGCTAGAAAACTTTCTTGCCACAAACTTACGTGGAGGTGGCAACTTAGAAAATATAAGAAAAAGTAAAAGAACTTTGACCTAAAAAAAACTTTATAATTAGCTATTAGATTTCTACAATTTCAGAATTAAAAGGGACTTTAGGATCATTTAATCCCCAAAATACCAAGGTTATGTAATTAGAGCAGCTATTCAGTTAAGTATGCTGATAAATTTAAATTTCAATGAATAAACATTATACAAATCTAAAAATATATAATACAATATTGATGTCATGCCCACTATGTTACTTTTCTGTTTAATGAAATGAAATTACATTATTTAAAATCAAGGATTAATACTCAAAATTAGGGTTCTGTCAGGATCACAGAATTGTAGTTTAGCCAACTCCTTTATTACACAAGTACGAATAAGAAAACTGATTCTCTTTGAGCAAAGTGTCTGATTCTAAATATATTCCACTAAATTTTCAGAGATTTCTCTTCAAATTGGTCAAGAAAGTCTATGCATTAAAAACAAAAACAAAAAACAGACACCATGACTGTGCAAACAGGCTCTCAGGTACACGGCATGCCTTATTGTCTCTCGAAGTCCCCCCCATACGTTCATCCTGTGAGATATATTATAGCATCTATTACTGTGATAACAGAATTAAATAATCAACATTTAATAGTTATGGGGTATGTCATAAGTCTTTAGAACATAAGAACAATGAGGACACTCTACTTAAAAACAATTACTACCACAACAAAAACCTGTTACTTCACATACTTGATAGATTAGTGTTTAAGAGTGCAGGGATTGGTCCAAATCTCACTCTCCCATGTACAAACTGCCTGATTTGAGATGCATTTTCTAACCTTTATAACTTTCAGTTTCCAAATCTTAAAAAAAAAAAAAAAAAAAAAATAGAAGCCTGTTACTACTGTCACTACTACTAATTCCTGCCAAAGCCTTAGGAGAGGCAGTGCAGGTATCAAACTCTGCATGAGCCTGGAGTAAACCTGGGGGCATAGTTGGTAACTACTATTGCTACTACTATTCCTAATATTAATACCGCTCTGGCTACTGCCATCACTACTTCACTTATGAGTGCTCGAGTTTCTATTCACAGTGGTCCTTTGGTATCCAAAGGGGATTGGTCCAGGCCCCCTGTGGATATCAAAATTGGGTTGCTTATATAAAGTGGTATGGCAGTTATATACAGCCTACGCACATCCTCCCAAATACTTTAAATCTTCTCTAGGTTACTAAAAATACCTAATAAATGTAAATGCTATGTAAATAGTTGTTATACTGTATTGTTTTTTATTTGTATTGTTTTTTATTGTTGTATTGCTATTTTTTATTGTTTAATCCAAATACTTTCAATTAACAGTTGGTTGAATCTATGGATGTGGAACCTGCTGATACGGAATGTCAGCTATATTGATTTTCTTGAATTCCTGTAGCTGTCTGAGGCTCCCTCATGTTTATTTCCTAAACTCTCTTACTTATCTGTATTCAAAAATAGAGGTGCGATGAAACTAAGATGGGTGATATTGTGTTGTTCTATCTTTCATATATCAAATGGCAGTCAATGATCCACATTCAGTGAAACTTGGAAATATAGGTAGCCAAAAGAACACACGTATTCCTAAGGTTGATTTAATATTGCAGTCTTTAGTAGTGGGGCTGCTAGGATAATATAATCAGTATTTAGTCAGTTCAGAGAGTTCCTATTGCAGAATTAGAGGGAAGGAACTCCAAGGAAAACGTGGTTCGAAACTTAATAGCATCTCTTCTATCTAGCTGTGTACTTAAAAATTCCACTCTTGGGTCCCTGTGCCTCTTCTACTATAGCAAAATGAAATGTTGGCAAAAATATTCTGTGCTTACCACCTACAAAGATGCATTCCTTCTCCTATTTTTAATGCTTGAAGTGTACAATTTCCAGTGTATTTTAGTCTCTGATTTTGTGAGTTGGTGCCCATCACAGGAAATGCATCCTCCAAATTACAGTCCGGTTCACCACTCTGCGCCAAAACAGTTTAACTGAATAAAAACCACCACCCAATAATTTTGCAAAGAGTTACACAACCGTGTTCTATGGCTGTATCGGATGAGGTGGAAAGAGGGGGAAAGTGTTTGTTTTTTTGATTTTTCCCCACCCCTTTCTTCTTGTCCTATGAAGCTGTCATGCTTACTCGTTCTCTTCCAACCGCTTAATGAAATTTAAGAAAACAGTGTTAAAATGTTTCAGTTTCTGTTCATTACTAAACAGTGATGAACATACTATAAAACATATTATAAATACTTTAGTGCAAGGGACAAATAAAGAAGAAATATAAGCATGAGAGAAATTTTTCATTTTACTGGTGTCACGGTAGACCTGAAAATAAAGATTTTCTATCACTACCCTCTTACCTGCTGGAATTCTTCCATCTGTGAGAAACAGGTCGCTGAATCCTTCACCCAACAGCCTATCTATTGGAGAATCTCGCCCCAAATCATAATCACTGTCTCCTGCCTCACTGTCACCACGGCCACTGTCTTTCAAGCTAAATTTGTCCATGTCTTGAAGGGCATATCTGGAAAGATAAATCACAAAAAAAAATTACAGTTTTTACTCTTCAGCATTTATGTTGAAACTTAATAGGTAACACAAGAATAATTCATACCTGTAGCTCCTGGAATATTTGTTTCCTCGAAAACTTGGTCTTGGCTGATATTGCCCCTGGTGAAGCATTGAAAGAAGCTGAGAGACCTGCTGGAAACCAAATAGACAGAACTGATTCCCGGAAACAAGCCTCCAAACACTCACAATCTTTAAGCAAGAAAAACAGTTGCTTGCTATTTCAACTAAGTAATTGAATATATTCTCTCTATTTAAAAGATTTGCAAATGCTGGACTGTGGCGGACCACGCAGCCAGCTACCAACTATAACTAAAATATATCTCAGAGAGATTTGGATGACCTAATACAACTGACTTTTACTTTGTGAAAGAAGACTCCCTTTCAAATAACTGATTTATTTTCTTTATAATTCAGACAAAGTGACCACCTGTAAAAATACATGGAAAATACTGTAAAATACAACACTGCAATGCATGTAGTTTAAAAAATGTCAGGAAATCTTCCAAACTTGGACAAACATAGCATGCATTGAAATAGAAGTCTGAAGGCCTCAGTTTTTTTATTTGTTCAGTAAAGACTATAACCTTGAAAATAAAGCAAGTCTCTACTTTTTGGCTTCCCATTATTTTAATCTGGGAAGCAAGGGGACTCTAATTACATAGTCCTTTGTGACCTTCACATTTATTTTTCAATATTACACATATTATATGAAGTTATTTACTTAAGGAAAACTAAAAACAGTATGCTAAAGTGTGCATCTTTGCTACATATTCACAATGTAACTTGTATCCTACTTAATTTGCACAGTATTAGTATTGTTACTTATTAATGAAAACATTTAAGAACTAGTAAACACAATTCCTGAACACTAACACCTAACATTGCAATGAATTGATGCGGTTTATGATCTTACCTCAACAGCAGGAGTGGCGTGGGTGAGTTCTAATGAGAAATTCTCTGGCACGTGGTTTGATGAGATTGTCACCAAACTGTTGAGTGACTGGTGACTGTTGTGACTCTGCCGGCTGCCCATCTGCCCTCTTTCTAAGGTAGGAGATGAAGATGGAGACGATCTGTGATGAGATCTGATGGGCAGAGTGCCATTTATGGTAGGCACCAATGTGATGTCCCCTTTGTGAATCTGCCGGGATGGCCTTTTTGGGTGGTGCTGGTAAGTTGATTCGGCCACCCTGCAGTTATAGGATCTAGTGTCTTTCTTCTCGCGGTTACACCTAGTTGCAAATAGCACCATAATAACCAGCAACACTGCACAAATTGCTCCTAAGGAAATAATTATTATCATGGAGACATCCAAGGATGCCTGGCTTACTGAAGTCATTGCTGTACTTGTCACCGACTCTGCATATTCAAAGATCATGCACTTCAGAAGGACTTTGGTATGTAGCTGAGGATTGCCTTTGTCCTGAATGATAACTGACAGCTCCCATTCTGTGTAGGGAACAGAATCCATGCTAACGTTGGTATGGATGTCACATGATCGTGGATCAATTATGAAGATATTCTCCTCATTACCTGCTACTATGGCGCAGCTGAGTTCAGCATTCACACCAGAGTCTCTGTCAATTGCCCTTATTCTTGTGACATGAAAGCCACTTTCAGCCCCTTTGGGAATGGTGATTTCTGCCGTATTATTACGCAATGCAGGCCCTATAACCACAGGAACGTTGTCATTTTCGTCAATGATGGTGAGCACAACTGTGGTATTGCTTACCAGTTGCTTCGGGCTTCCTCCATCTCTTGCTTCTACCACAAAAGTGATCTGACTCACTTCTTCATGATCAAAGATTCTGAGGGCATAGATGGCTCCATTAGATGGGTCAATGGTTACATATGTAGTTATGGAACTTCCTAGAATAAAACTCTCCAAGATGGTGTATGTCACTTGCCCATTTTCTCCAAGATCAGGATCTGTGGCTGTAACAGTGGTGATATATGCCCCTGGTGAGTTATTTTCTGAAATTACAAATTCATATCGGCTTCTCTGGAAGTGGGGTGGATTGTCATTGATATCATTGATTTGAACTGTAAAATGTTTCACTGTAGAGAGACTGGGTGTCCCCCTGTCCTCAGCGATTACAGTCAAACTATACTCAGATCTCTTTTCTCTATCCAGTGTGGCATTAGTTAAGATTAAATAATTGTTTTCATATGTCTTCTGAAGTTTAAAGTGACCATGTCCATGAAGCTTACAAACTATTTCTCCATTCAGCCCAGAATCCTTGTCCTGAACTCTGACCAAAGCAACAAATGTATCAATAGGATCCCCTTCAAAAATATAAGATATTTCTTCTTTTCCAGGGGACATGAGGTTGATGTTAATTTCAGGTTTATTGTCATTAACATCCACAACCTTAATTATAATTTTGCAATGGGCTGGGATTGAATTTGGACCCAAATCTTGAGCCTGAACATCAATCTCATAGGATTTGGTGATTTCATAATCCACTTGCTTGAAAAGAGTCAAATGTCCTCTTTCAGAATCAATTTTAAAAGTCTCCATAATTTTGGGAGACACATGACTGCTGAAGGAATATACAATTTTCCCATTAGCGCCCTCATCTGGATCCGTGGCATTCAGATCTAAGAGCAAAGTGCCAACCGGGGAGTTTTCTAAGAGTTGTATTATATAAGATTGCTGCTCAAAAGCAGGGCTGTTGTCATTGGAGTCTGAAATGCTTATTTTTAGTATGGATGAGCCAGACCTCTGAGGTACTCCCATGTCTGAGGCAGTGAGCTGAAGCTCGTAGCTTGACTTCAGCTCCCGATCTAACTCTCTGACCACTATGAGTTCTGCATACTTGGCTCCATCAGTCCTGGTCCGAACCTCGATATTAAAAAAATCATTGGCAGAGAGCGAGTATGTGTGGAGGGAATTTTCCCCAACATCTGGATCAAATGCACTGTCCAGGGGAATGCGAGTCCCAACTGCTGCACTCTCAGATATCTCAATAGGTATGAGAGATCTTGAAAACTGGGGAGAATTGTCATTAATATCCAGCACTTCAACTTCAATATGGAAAAGCTGCAGATGCTCTGTGGGTAGAGTGATCACATCAAACTCTATGGAACAGTTCAAGTTTTTCTGGCACAGTTGTTCACGGTCAATTGTAGCCCCTATGCTGATTTCCCCATTATCCTCGTTTACTACAAGTAGAGGAGAATTTCCCCTCTGCATGGCTCGAAATCGAACAGTAGAAGGATTAGGAAGCTTCAATAAAACATCAGCCACATCCTCTGATAGTCTTGCAATTACTGATCCAACCCTCTGTTCCTCATAAATCCTGTATTTCAAATTCTTGCCCAGTACATCGTGGTTGAAAGATACTATCAGAAGTGCAAAAACAAACCTAAAGTGCATTTTAGCATTCATTTGGTGCATTGGTCAGTTTATGAGATTTCCCTCACAGAGCAAGTTAAAACAGCAAAGCAATTGCCTCAACTTCCTTTGGCAACGTAAAGCTACATTTGGTACTTGAAACTTGAAAGCGTCTCTTAATAACACAGCACAGCAATTAACAGCTCGCAAACTTTTGTTTTATACACACCGTGTCACGACTTCCAGATACCTTCGGCATGGAGTCCAGTCCTTGCGTTTGTTTGGTCGTTCGTCCTCTTTCCAGGCAGGAGAGTGTCACCTCCGCGTTTTCTCCCTTGTGTAGTCGGAATCCATCTATTGCAGGGTGCCGGTGGAGTCTGCAGTGTGTCTTTCCTGAGCGATTCTTTCTCCCTTTAGCTGCTCGGCTGCAGACTAAACACCCGTGATTGCTGACTCCAGTCTAAAATCTGTACAACTTCACTTCAACTCAGACAAAGCTCTTGCCCAGCGTGTGTTGAATCGCTTCCAGCCAATCAGCGTGCTTCCAAATCAAAAGCTGATGGAGTCACCCAAGGAGGGAGGGCGAGAGTGGAGGGTGGGAGAGAGAAAGAGACGGAGAAGGAGGAAGGCGGGGGTGGGTGCGCGAGGGAGAGAAGGGGA
Source organism: Homo sapiens (assembly GCF_000001405.40). Classification (NCBI taxonomy): domain Eukaryota; kingdom Metazoa; phylum Chordata; class Mammalia; order Primates; family Hominidae; genus Homo; species Homo sapiens. Next base: position 137,532,686 of record NC_000004.12, read on the forward strand.
GATGGGCTGGTGGGGGCTGGGGGAGGAGATGGGAGCCAGTCCTTCCCTGTTCCTTCCTTCTTCCTCCCCACTCCCCCTCCGCCTTTCAATCTACTGCATTCACTTTCTCTGAGCGTGCCATGACAAAGGGGAGACAAATTACAGAAGAAAAACTTTAAATCAACTTCTGGTCGCCTTTATTTATATGGCACGTTAAATTCTTCTTGTTTTCTTAATTGCCCTTTCTTCTGCCACAGACATGTAATCATCTTGCTTTTCATAGTCCTTAAGTGCTAGTTTAACTTAAAATACCTCTAAGTGCGTTTTGTTGGTGGAGGAATTTAATACAATTTGAAAACTTGCTTCTAATTATGCTTCTCAGACCACCTCCTTCCCCACTCCCTCTGTAAATACTTGGGCCTTTCTCCTTCCAGGAGCACAAGCAGATTTTCTTGGGGCTCTGTTTTTAAAGAACGGAGCAAGTAAAGAGGTTTCATTTTCTGTTTTCTTTCATCTTTATTCTTTGAAGATAAAAAAAGGGCTATCTTGCACTCTTCATTTCTCTTAATTAGCAAGACTTAAGGGAACACCTCAGAATTTGGAACTAATTAACAATATAGTTCTACCTTGTATGATTTCTTTCCTTGAGTTTGGGCAAAATTGTTTGTAATATTTCTTTGTCCTGTACTTCAAAAAAATCCTATTTATCTTGGGTAAAAGACACTGCAAGCTTTAGCATGCCAATTTCTACCAAAAGGCACTATCTATACATGGCTAGTCTTTGCAGTGAATACAGGGGGGACATGGACTCAATAGTTTACAAGTCAAATTTTTATAATATATGCATTATTTATGAAAACACTTCAGATATGTATTTTAAAAACCCCAAAGGTTGTTTACACTGACAAATCAAATGCCTGAGCTGAAAATTGCATTTTGTATGCATCAAAATGCTAGGAAATATCATGGGAGGCTTGTGCTCTATCCAGGTCACAGAAACTGATACGGTATTCTTATTTGAAAATATGATTATTTATGATGTTCTTTCTGCTCTGCAATTCCTTTTAAGTTTATCATCGTGGCTCCATTTTTGCTGCTTTTTTTCATACCTTTTTCCTTATTCCTCAGCTGTCTTCATCCGCTTGCATATTTGCTGTTTCACAGAATGTCATTGTCACTTTTTTCCATTTATTTTTTCTCACTGTCTATTTTGCCCCCCAGAAACATATAAAAAAAGTAATTTTCTGATTTTTCCACTTTGCTTACTCTCAGCAGAGCTCAGCTAAAGTCACTAAGAAGGCTCTTTCCAAAAAAGAAAGCAGAGGAGTCTCAGCGTGAATTCTCCTTCTTTTTAGGCATTCAAAAGCATTTTATAAGCCATTGTCTTTTTTTCCCCCTCCTGAAATCAGTGCTGTGTGGCAAATTGTGCAGAATAGAAATGCCTATAATGAATGTATTTAGTACTGGGTCACGCTGATGAACATTCTGCCCCCATGAATAATACTGTTTTACAAGTTTGTAGCCCTTTCAAATTGCTGATCCCCAAACCCTATAGGCAAACTAGGAAAACTACCACAAGCAAGGGGGACTTTAGAAACCCATAGCCATCTGGCCTAGATCTCTAACAATCTGAGCCAATAATTATATCAATTCAGGCTTTAGCGAACCCCTTTGCAAACACCAAAAGAGCAAAGAAAGGAATTAGTGACTATTCAAAGTTGGGGTGAGAATTCAAAGGTAACCTAATTCCATTAGTTCTAGGAAAATTTTCTTTCAGAATTTGATAAGTCTACCCCCCAAAAAACTTCAAGAGCAATCGATTTGATTACCTTGATACGGATTTTTTTTATGCTTAAAAAGTAAAAATAATAAAAAGCTCTTTTATTTCTGACAGTGGGCTTGAACAGAAATAATCATTGTGAAAAAGAGCTTCACTGTAACTTACTGAAATATTAAATAACTTGTAAAATAATATATCCTCCAAAATGATATGTTTCTATGAGTAAGTATTTAAAGAACTTGGCATTCTTTCACCAACAGTGGCTTTTTTCACTTGCAATATCATCCTTACCACATATTATTTCCTTTTCAGCTTCCCAATCTCTTCCTGAGAAGTCACATGTATCTACTCAAAAGTGATGTGCTTTCGATTTATCCTTGTTATGCACTGATCTGTTCTTTATGTTTTTTTCCCCAAAAGTACAGAATTAAAAATAAATCTTTTCTTTGTAATATTGTATCACTAGTTCTAACAATTTAAATTTTCCTCATTTGGTATCCCTGAAAAGATAACATAAAACTATCTCCCAAACTATTTACTATCCATGAAAGGGTTTATATCAGGGGAGAAAAACTGATAAACTTCTATTAGCTGTTATCTAATGATGACCTGGTTGAACTTCATCCTTCTGGAATTTGATGAAGTCATGAAAAAGGGGTAGACCCTCTAAAACAACTTCAGATAACCAGTAAGGGAGAGTTGATTGAATGTTTCTTAAAGTCCACCCTCTTTTGATATGGCAGTCTTTGTTGCCAAAGAAAGGAAGTGGGTCCTCTTGAAGACTGTGCCCTCTTGAGTGATGTTAAGCACAGCAGCAAAGTGCTTCTAAGCTTCTAGAGGCAAATCGCAGATACATCCATCCTGTTGTGCATATTTTATCTATGAAGCTCCTTTTACCACTTCAGTTTAATTGGGCAGAAAACTGCTAAACCTAGATAAAAGATATCAACCGGCATTTACAATACATCCTTTCACCTCTAATAACACTTTCACCATGCCATTTACTTTTATTACTTTTGTTCTAAGGAAAATTAAGCTTTATAATTCTAAATTTTGAATGATTTTGTTCCTATTCAAGAGGAAGGAAAACATAGAACTCAATTGTAAGGCTCAAATTTATCTGCATTACATGAAGCAAAGTGTCTCTTTTGGTACTGGAATACAAGATGAAAGTCACTAAAATTCCTTACACGCAGATATGTATTTTGTTTTTTGATTTTTTGCTATTAATTTATATTTTATTAGAGCATATGAGATTAAAAGGTAGGTTAATAAATATTCACTTTTATCTCACTATATGTCAAAATAATGGCGTGAGACTTACAATCTTCTGATTGATTGGTATAGTTCACAATCTTTCCTCACAGCATTTGTTGTGAAACATAGAAGAAAATCATGGTCCTGCTTGGCACCATATGGCTGTAACAAGCTTAAATAATTACTCTGCATCCTGGGAAATTAGGGACAAAGGCTTTTCCAGACAAAGGTTAGTAAAGTTAAGGAATTCCAAGACTATAGACCTGCTTAAGATAAAGAGCTTGCTTGGCTTTTTGTATGAGCCCAACAACTGTGGGTACCACCAGTTGGCAGTTATGTAATCCTGGACAAATTATTTAACTTCTCTGCAAATGTATAATCCTCCATGAGGTGGGAGTAATAATTTACTCTAAAAAATTCTTTTAAGAATTTCGATGACTGGGGCTTTCCACAAAGGCTGGCCCAGTAAACACACAACAAAGGTTAGTTTCCTTTTCTTAACCTGTGTGTGTCTGTTTTCCTCCTAACATTCATTGAAGAAGAACAAAATGTGGATTATAGCCGCAGAACTTGGTACTTCTCAGACTTTTGGTTTAGATGCATACATAATTTTATGTTGAAAAGATAAAGCTCTCTTCATCTTGACTTATAAAGGTCACCTGTGAAACATAATTGACAAAAATAATAGTATTGAACTGTGATGGTCTTGAAAACTTGCTGCTTTCCTGAATAAAATTCCAATACCTACCAACTATACTCAACTATACCTCCAGGCCCTAAACCATAGAAACATATCTACAAATACAATTAGAAGTCTACCAGGTGTTTATTTTTCTTTTATATTTGATAGTATACACATCTACTATTTGCCTGTTCTCAAGGCTTTTGCACTAAACAGTTGTTTCTTTAAATTTCATGTGAAACTGTAGCAGGAAGACAAAAGGATATGATTTGATGTATCGTGGTAGTGACAAGGAAATATAAAATTTGTCAAATAAGATTTTTATTTAAAAACCAACCTTAGGCCTTTTGTCAATCACATTACATCTCTCTATGTTGTTCTTCCTTTATTCCATTTACTAATAGATTTAAGAATATAATAATGAAAAGTCACCAAACAATATGAACTCTTTATGAGACAAAATTTATCAACATAAGATCAAAGGTTGGGAAATGAAAATAGATCCCAAACTATCTTTAGATGTGTGTAACAGAAATAGACTTTAGTTGAATTCTGATCAAAACTGAATGTGCTAAGCACCCACAGGAGGCCCACGCACCTGGAAGCATAGCTGTGCTAGGGCTGTGAGGCAGCACAAACCAGGGGCCAAGAAGAGTTGGAGTCCGTGAAATACAGTGACAGGTGCTAGGTCAATTTTGTCTTAGTGGGCAATCAGTATTTAGGATGTTCTGCCAAAGGTAATATGCCAAGTTCCAGCAGGTGACTTAGGGTCTGGCAAAAGGCAATCTATTGAGTCCAGATGAAAGGCATGTAGGTGAGCTGCTATTCCAAACAATACGACTTCCTTCAGGACTTCCAAACAAGGCAGGTTATGAAATTCAGGATTAAAACAGGAAGAACAAAACAGGCACCTAGAAGTTCAGTGTTTTGTAAATGGGCACATACGAAAAGCCTCCTCACAATTGGAGACCAGATTGCAAAGTTAAACTAGATGGCAGCAAAATTGACTTTTAAATTGACTTTTAGGATTATTCATCTGAATTCCTTAAATTCTTTCCTTTCAGTACAGTACCTTGAGGCAAAAAACTAAGCCTACAAAGCGTCTTCCTATAGTTGCAGCTGAGAAGATTTGTGGAAATGGGTGGTGGGGAGACTAAACCCTTAGGTGACTTGAGTCTCAATTTTTAGTTTAAGCGTTGCCATTCAATGTATGGGCTTTAAAGCAGCAGCATGGGCATTAGCTGTAAGCTTGTTAGAAATGTAGAGTCTCAGACGGTACCCCAGACCTACTTAAACAAATTCTACATTTATTTATTTATTTTTTAATTATACTTTAAATTCTAGGGTACATGTGTACAACGTGCAGGTTTGTTACATATGTATCCATGTGCCATGTTGGTATGTTGTACCCATTAACTCGTCCTTTACTTTAGGTATATCTCCTAATGCTACCCCTCCCCGCTCTTCCCACCCCATAACAGGCCCCGGTGTGTAATGTTCCCCACCCTGTGTCCAAGTGTTCTCATTGTTCAATTCCCACCTATAAGTGAGAACATGCAGTGTTTGGTTTTCTGTCCTTGCGATAGTTTGCTCAGAATGATGGTTTCCAGCTTCATCCATGTCCCTACAAAGGACATGAACTCATCCTTTTTTATGGCTGCATAGTATTCCATTGTGTATATGTGCCACATTTTCTTAATCCATAAGATTTAAGTACCATCATGTCAGAAGTTGCACCACTTCATTCAGACTACTCTTCTTAGCAATGTCTCAAAATTTAATGTGCATAGGAATCACCAGAGGACCTTATTAAAATGCAGAATTTCTTGACCAACCCAAATGTCCATCAACAAATTCTGCATTTTAATAAGGTCCTCTGGTGATTCCTATGCACATTAAATTTTGAGACATTGCTAAGAAGAGTAATCTACTGAGTGAAGTGGTGAAACTTCTGACATGATGGTACTTAAATCTTATGTGCTGTGAGATTTTTCTCCTCCAGGGAGTTTAGAGATAATTGGCACATGGAGAAGATTACCAGAAAAAGGGCCAGAGCTAAGACCTCATTAATTCAAGAATATAAGTAGAAGTGATATAAGAAAACTTCTCTGTTTAGTTAAATTCACAGAAAGAGAAGGGAAATTAAGCTTCCCTCTGGATCTAAGGTTTTATAGCAGCTATCACCCAGTTTATCCATTAGGCAGTACAGTTTCCATCAGCAAGGAAAACGCTTTTTAGAAAAAGAGATCTAATAATACTTTTGGAAGAGCTATTTCCGAAGGTGAAAATATCTCCAATGTCATAATATTTATTTGTATACTTGTGCATATGTATATGTTTAGGAATCTCTGGTTGAGTGTTTCATATTTGTGAAGTACATATAAATCACAAGTTTGCTTTATGTTTTCTTCATGGCAACATTCCTTCGTTTATCATTCTTTTATCATGCGGCAAAGCAAATCTTGAGAATACAGTTTATTTTATCCTTAAATACTTCCAGCTCAGAATTAAGAATACAAATCAAAGTGTGACAGAAAGTTTATTGCCAATGTCTGACTCTTTGTGTTCATGTTAAAATACACTTCATGTATGATACTTCTGGATGCTCTTAATAAATAGCTAATTTATCCAACCATTTTTTGTTGTTCCAACTAGGAGTATCACACTGTTCATAGACTGGCATCTACTCTCAAGAAAAAAGTTTTTATAATGTAAAGGAGAACTGTTATCATTCAGAAATATGAGCATCCACTTAAATAACAAAAACCAAGTCAATGATATTTTAGGATATATTAGGTAAGATTAAAACTTTTTGAAAGTTTTTGAAACTTTTTTGAAACTTTTTGAAAGGTTTTAATATAGTATGTTAAGCTTGGATAAGTGATAAGTATCGGCATCAAATATGCATAAAAATTATTAGTAAATACCATGCAACTTCATGGTCCAATTTCTTATTTACTTAGAATTTGTAAGAAGTTATTCACTTTAGGTTTATCATCCATCAATTGAAACACTTTTAACAAGGAGCAATCAAGGATATTTGTAGTGTATACAGTTAACAGCAGTGTTATAAAATTGAGGGATGCTTAATTTTACAAGAAAAAGAAAAAAGTTCAAAGTATTCTCTCCAAAAGCAACTTTCATCAAAAAATAACTAAAATTTCATAAAATAAAGGAAATAAATGATAGAGATTAAGAACATCTAGTAGATACTTAGCTATAAAGTTGATCTCTGAAAATGCATGTGCTTACCATTTCTTTACTCACTTACACTTACAAAGAGAATAAACAGTTCACATATAGGTTTTACATAATAAGTATCTGAATGTATGTGAATTAAATAGAAAATATTTCAAAGGGAATGAGACTGAGGAGAGTTGTTAGACCTTCACTGAAAATAATGCCTATTTCCTACGAGACTCATAGCAGCCCACCATTTGTAACAATATAGTGCCTCTTTTATTATCGTCTAGTATTTATTTTTAATTTGGGTAAGTTATTTTAATTGTAATAAACTAATCAATTATAGCTCATATTCTCTATCCAAAAGAATTTAAGCTTCAAAGTAGGCTCCCATTTAGTTAAGAGGGCAAATTTACAGTTTACACGTGGACTGTGTTACTGATATAAAAAATACCATCTATAATAGTTACATCTCACCTAGCATTTGAATGTAAAGGTCTTGGACCATAATAAAAATAAAGATAATAGTTATTGAACCATATTGAGTGCCAAGTGAGCTACACATATATTTCCTTTAATTCTTACTATAATTTTAATAATGAAATATTTATGATTGTTAGAAACATGTGGGATATAATAATAGAACTTGGCTAAAATTGTCAAAAAAAGGAAGTTTATTATTTCAAAACAGGAGATACACAGTGATAGGACATTTTCAACACTGAATATTGAGCAGCTCAATAATGCCATCACAAACCAGGTGTCTCCCATCTTTCTGCTATTTGATATTCAATGTGCTGGCTTGTTCTGTTTTCTTGGGTTCATTCATGATTCCAAGACAGCTGCTACAGTTCTAGAAAATATATCTCCACTTAGCTGAATATAGAGTTACAAAAAAGACAGCATCACCTAATCTTCTTTCATCAAGAAATAAAATGTTTTCTAGTAGTTTCCTACTGATATGCTCTTAAAGCTCATTGGTCAAAATTGTGTCACATGACCTTTATTAACCAATCTCTAACAAGGAGAATAAAGCTGTTATAATTGGCCTACCTAGACTAGAAAGTTTCAGTCTTGGAGGAGAGGAATAGCTCCTTTCCTTCCTGAAGGGCAAAGTCCTAAAATATAGTGTTCATTTAACAAAGTGGATTAGAGAGTGGATATTAAATGGAGAACAAGTTGTGTCAGCCACATTAATCCTAGAATTATTTTATGTTTAAGGAATTTAAGACTCACAAAGTTTTGCCTAAAACATGGCTAATATATAGTAGATATTGAATTTTTATACTTATGTTTGTCTCCAAATTCTACTTCTATACAGTAATAACGACTTGTTTCTTAAATATTAAGTGAAAAACTCTGTCATATTTTTAAATTCTTTTATTTTCCAAAATTGTTAAGCTATGGGGGAAAGACAATCAATATACATTAAGGTGATTTGTCTTGTGAAAAAATATTTCAACCTCTGCAAGAAAAAAATCTGCTTTTTTCTTTGGATGATACCCTTCAAAATAATCAGTGCTACAGGCTTAATTGAAGTGATTTTTAGGCAGAGGTGGGAGAAAACTGAGGAGGTAAGACTGGGTCTTTTTACTGGCTCTAAATACACCCCACATACCTTAGGTATGATATCTTCACATACCATGTACTGCTTCCCTGTGACTAGGCTCATACTAAAGGAAATACAATTGAATCATCTTTAGATTAAAAGGTATGAACAAAAAGTGAGAAGTTGGAAAAACGAGAGTAGACATTCAGATTCTTACTTATGTTGCAATCAGAAACACTCCAAACGTTGAGTTAAAGCCAATCAGGAGACTGACACAAGGGAGGAGCATAATGCAGTGCAGGAGATACTGACCTGAGATCAAAGAAACCTACTTCCCACTCAACAGCTCTTTGATGTTTTGTCATTGTACCATCATGTCTTTGCAGTGACAAGTCACTCTCCACGTATATTTTCTTGAATAATGGATTGGATCCTAAATTTGGGAGGAAGACATAAAAAGTGTACCTGGATACCCAGTTTTACTTTGAGTATTCAATGTATTATTTATTTTGACACACTTTTCTGGAAAGTCCGCTTCTGGCTGTGAGGCTAAATGAAAGACTCTAACATGTTTGGTAAAGAAGGCAATATAATTTAAGGCAAGCAAATGTGCTTTACCTTGCTCAGCCAAAAGTATTGGATTTAACTTTCCAAATAAAAATGAATCTCAAAATGTCCCCCCTTTTTTCTAGAGCAGTTCACTAAATCACAATAAAATATTTAAAATGATCTTACTGGAGAATGATAAACTTATACAGAAATTCCCGATTTAAAAAAAAAGATCAAAAGTAAACATATTTTAGCTTTCTCACAAATAATCAGCAACTGCAACACTTGCTGTGGTTCTTTCTGTTTTGCTGTAACTCGACAACGTTTTAAATTCAAAAGGTTTCTGCTAGGATTGGATTATGATTATTATGCAGGAACATATCCCAGTATAAACAGCTTTCTTGGCATTTACATATTGCTCCCACATGCTTCCATTTCTGACTTCTCAGTAAGTCAGAAGCACATATTTTATTGTTATGAAAAGAACACAGTTTTCTATTTACTATAGAATCTTGGGTCTTTACAAACAGAATAATCCAGCATCACAGCACTTATGCAGCCAAAACCTGAATTGATAATGATATAAACTTGCAAAGCAAATAAATATTTCAATCTAAAATCTGTACTATTAACACAAGGTCGTCAAAGGTTTTCTATAATGAATTCAGAAATTCCAGCCTAACTAATTGCTTTTATAATAATGAGGGTCAACTAGCTGAACAAAAAGTGAGGACGGGACGTAAGCAGCTTTTGTTTAACCTAGACAGAGACAGGGAGCCTCTTTCCTGGGGTGGCGTAAACAGCACAAATCTGCCCTATCTGCAGTTGCCATTTAAATGAACCCTGTTTTCTAATACTGGAACTAGGCCTATTATTTCATACAAGGAATATATACCAAGGTTTCTAAAAATCAGGTATATACACCCTCAAAAGTGAAAGTAACTAATCAATAGTAGACTTTCTTACAATTTTACACCATTTAACTATCCTCATGGAGAGTCCTAAATTGCCATATGGAAAACACCGCCACACACACCTCCAGGGCCAGTGTGTGAGAACCACTTTTAATTTTTCTTGCCTTCATTCTGATCATTCATTTTGTTAAACAAGGCATTCTGGCCTTCCTCATCTTAGATACGTAGCAAATTATTACTACTAAAGGATAGTGGGCAACAACTCAAACTCAATAAAAATGGGTCATTCAGAGCATTTTTCCAAAGTGGTTTTTATTTAAAGATATGTATTTATAACAACTCTAAGCCCTTTTTTTTTTTTCTGTAGGAGCAAAAATGGCCCCTTTTCTGAAGGTCATCAAAAACTATATAGTTTTGCAAATCTGCTGTAGAATAGACAGCCTCGGGGGGAGTTATAAGAGAAAATGGCAGGCATGGCTTATCAGAAGAGTATGTATGATATAGTGAACATCAGTCTTTACATGTTAAGTCATTAACTGTTTAGGGTGCAGATAGTTCTTCATAAAGAATCAGATGTTCCATTCCTCTAGTATGGTAAAACCGGTGCCATAAAGTCATTGCAAAAGACAGCAAACAACTTTGTTATTGTAATGTGCTTTTTTTTCTTTTAACAATAGGTCTAGCAGGTGGCATGTGGCTATGGCTGGGTCTATCTCCATCTCCAGGGTGCCAAGATGTCCCTCAAAGTTTCTGTGGGAGGAATTTGTTGGTGGGATTTGGATTGTAAAGGCACGCGAGCATCTGCTGCCTCCCTGGTCTCATTACCATTCACACAATTAACTCCTGCAGCTCTCAGCTCAACAGCCAGAACCAAGGACTCAATTTTACTGCCTCTTTGACAATGCTCATTATCATTCATCTAAACTTAAGAGTTCCCAAGCTTTCAACTCAGTGGAAAGTTTTCTTGGGGGAAAGAGATCACACAGAGGAAAGCCTTTGGAATGAAGAGAGAAGGAGCAAAAAAAAAAAAAGATTAAGGACCTAAAATCAACACCTTGAAGTAACTGAGTTTCTAAAATGTGGAATTTTATTTCATTTTATAAGTAACACGCCACATCTTTAAAGACTGCCTCCCTCATATTTCAAAGGCCTGTGTTTGGTCTCCTAACATTTTCACTTAAGGAGCTATGATCAGTTAACAACAATAGTTCTTTCTACTGTCCTCATTGATACTAGGTCCAATTTTGCATCTCGTGGAAGCTTTGGCCAAAACTACAGCTGCCTGAGAAAAAGAGTTTTGAGTAATTTTCCATAGAGAGTAAACAGAGTGTTTTGTTATGCAAGGAGAGAAAGATTCACAAAACATGACAAATTCAAGAAAGCCTATATTTTTAAAGCCTCAGCAGTCCGATTATGTTAAATTGCATAAATATCAGCCTGCTACCTGAAAATTAAAAGTGTACTGTCCCTTTCACCATTTTGTTTCATGATAAATATTTACAAACTGCAGTTTTTAACAAGTTTATGTTGGACAAGAGTGAGGTGATAATAAATGATTTTTTTATAGGTTAAATAGCAGAAGCCTATTATTTATTGACATGTAGGCTACAAGGAGGTTAAAAGAAAACCTCCTTCCTTGATGTCAAATAAGTGATACAAAAACTGCACCTTCTCTTAAAGATATAACTTAATTTTTAAAAAGAAGCATTTAAAACAGTCTGCTCAAATGAAATAAAGCCTCTTTGGAACAACAGAAGAATGATTAGGCTGCTAAAAGCTGTGAAAGCAGTGCTATATATATAGTGAAAGCTATGAAGATTAATTTGTACTTTTACAAAAAAATTAGATAGTGAAAAATAGGTAAACTTTTACTTCAATGACTACAATTAAAAAATATGTATTTATGATAGCACTATTGAAAATTTTGTATATATTTAGCTCTATATTTCATAGAAACAGGAAACAATCTTATTGATACTGATTATCTTGCTTTTCCTTTGAATGCCATACATCAAAACCTAAAATTTCATTACTACATATACATTTTTAATATAGCATTAGGAAAAAAGAAATTTTGGTTAAGATTATATGGTTTGTTTTAAATTACCTAATTTTATAAACCATTCTTTGCTTCTTCCCAAAATGCAAATTTTCTCAAATAAAACCCAGGAGAAAATAAAATTAATGTTTGGGATGTGATATAATTCAAGCTCACCAACATGTAGATGGAGAAAAAATATCTTCATTTTTAAATATTTTAATGGTTATAGTTATAATTCTTGTGTGAAGGATAGGTAATGTATATTTGAATCTATAGAAAATGCATTGCCCCCTGGCTTCTTAGACAAAATAAAAGTGGGTATCTGAGTTCCTTATGTATTTGTCTTGATGTAAGTGATAACATGCCATTGAAGAAATTGTGCACACCTAGATTTCTTAACAGAATAGAACACTCAGTCATTTTTCTATTACGCAAAAGTTTAGTATGAACATCTCTGGTTATTTACAATATTCACAAAGACTTGCACGGTAAGAATGTAAAACCCCAATTCTGACTTCTCTGTACCATGCAGAAGTGTGACTGCAGATTTTTCTAAAAGTTGCATCCACACAAATACAATTTATGTTGTTAGTTGTTTCTTGAATTCTGCTACTCACATGGAATGCTGTCTGGTTCACAGCCTTTGTATTTCTCTTTTTTCCTGTCTCAGACCATTTGAACCCTTCCCTTTCCATCCCCAGAGTTCTGAGCTCTGCCCCAGTATATCCAAAACCAATCTTGCCTGAGTCAGGAAGGAGGTATGAATGTTGGTGCTCAGCAATTATTGATGCTTATGTTGACACTGACACTAGGCCTGTTGCGTGGCTCTAATTAGACTTCTTTATACCTGATGCGTCATCCTTGCCTACTGTCCCACTTCAATAATTGACGTTTAGACACTGTTTGGTTTTGCTAGTTTTATTCTCTCACCATTCCAACTCCAAGTTACTCAATCCTCCTCCAAACTGTTATGACTGTTGTCTTTATATCAGCTGGTGAAATTCCATGATGCTGCCTCTATTTTTGGAATCTCCTCTGGAATCCTCGCTGTTTGCACCACCTACTGTGAGATTGCACTACCAGCAATCTCATCTTACGCTGCCAAGTGCTCAATGAATGATGGTCTGTAGTGTGCTGTCAGATCCTCCAGTGTTCTACTCACCACATTGGATTTTCTTTTAATGCTTTTGGGTAAGTCCCCTAGAATTTACTGTGCTCCTGCAACAGGTTTTGTTTATAGGCTCTCTCTCCTCATGGCTTTGCACAATCATGTTGTTAACTAGGCCTTGCTTGTCATACTTGCCTATGTCCATAACATAAATGAGCTTTTAGTAATAGTTCTTCTTCTTAATGCATTATGAAAAATGTGAACTTCACAGAAACTGAAACACATGCCAACTGCTTAAATTCCATCTCAGTTATTGCAGAAGTCTATAGCATGGAATGTTGTTGAAAATAATAGAATGCAAGCATATATATTATTAATACAAATAGATCTCCAACAGCAACAGATTGTGTTTTATCTTTGTGTATCATGTTAGCAATGTTGTCTCAGATATTATTTTTAAAATTGTACCTAAAACAAAGCAAATCTGCATTAATGAACCAAGATATTTGGACCAAGTCAAGCTCAGTACTTGGCTTACTATTATGCTATAACAAATAGAATCGGGCATAACATTATAGCAAAGATATTTGCTATATTTTCTCTAAGGATTCTAATATGCATCAGTTTTAATATATATAGATATGTGTGAATTCATATATACTTTCATTATTTATTTAATATGTCAATTTAACTTTTCAGGAAATGTAATGCCATACAGCCACATGCTAATATAATTAAAATAATAAAGTGTACTTTCTCTCCAGAGTTATAAGTATGACAACATCCAAATGTTTATTAAAATGTTTTCTAAAAAGCATATGCTCCCAGGCACATGAATTAAATCCCTGAGCAAATACAATGCATAATGAAACAGCTGGTATCACCTCTTACAAATTAAAGAATATACAAATTTTAATATTTTCATGATAAGAGTTAGAAGTAACCTGAATTTTCAAACTCTATCACACATACAAATGTAAACACATATTAACTTATTCTTCATGTGTTAGAAAAATTACTTTTCTGATAAAAAGTAAAATTTTACCATTACCTAGTAAGGAAAAAAAATCTGTGTATATTGCTAACAAAATTGATGTGCTGAATTCAGTCTTTAGACGGACTATCTGCTAATCAATGTTAAAGTGTCATATTCACATTTTGCCTTGAGTCCCCTTTTAAAACCATCATGTTATTAAGATATTGTTTGACTGTTTTGCCCTTAGAAAGTCTCTGTAAATCATGGAATAAAGAATAAGGCTGTTAAGCAAATGTAAAATAAGTCAATCATGTATTGTATGACATATGGGCAATTTCCATTAAAGAAGTTTGTGTGTGAATAAAAGTAAAAATTCTATAAAATGAAATATCAGAGTCTAAATGGATCTGGAAGATAACTGTTATGAATGCCACACTAGTCAAATTCCTTGGGTAGGGTGAATATCATTCCTAGTGATTTTCATTCTGCAATTTGAATCAGTAGTTTAAATATTAGCACTTAACGGGTTTTTTTGTTAATCACAATATAGAGTCAATACAGAGTTCTATTTTATTCTTCAAAGTATTATTTTACCTTAACTATTTGTAATTATAAATGCTAGTTTGGTTAATGAGGTTTGTGATGAATGTTTGTTTTATTGAACTGATGGCATTGATTCACAAAACTTTTTGTACTCCGGGTCATGATTGCCTCTCAAATGAACAGTGGCTCTCCCTTAATCAGCAGTGACACTGAACAGCGGATGTATGATCCTTAGAGAAATGCTGCATTTTTTTTGTCATGATCTTCCCTTTGGTTTCATATTGGAATCACCTGAGGAGCTTTAGAAAACGCTGATGCCTGGGTCTCACCCCCAGAGAGTCTGACTTCATTGGTCTGTTTTGCTTCCTGAGGAGCTGGAAAAGTTCCCCAGGTGATTATAATCTACAGTCAAAGCTGAGACTTATTTCACTAGAATCTTTTTCTTTTTCTTTTTCTTTTTTTTTTTGACAGAGTCTTGCTCTGTCACCCAGGCTGGAGTGCAGTGGCGCAATCTCCGCTCACTGCAACCTCTGTCTCCCAGGTTCAAGTGATTCTCCTGCCTCAGCCTCCCGAGTAGCCGGGATTACAGGCGCGAGCTACCATGCTTGGCTAATTTTTTTGTATTGATAGTAGAGATGGAGTTTCACCATGTTGGCCAGGCTGGTCTCAGACTCCTGACCTCGGGTGATCCACCCACCTCAGCCTCCCAAAGTGTTAGGATTACAGGTGTAAGTCACCATGCCAGGCCTTCACTAGAATCTTTCCAAAAACAAGAAATTTGGCTATGAAAATGATGTCTGTCTTATGCATAAAATATTGAAACAAGTAAACTAGTTTCTGGGTTGGTAGAAAAGTTGTATTTACATCTCTTTCTAGATGGGAGTATAGCAGTAGAAGAAGCACATAAAGGAAAGAGGTGGTGGTGAGAAAAATTAAAGGAGAAGAAACATTTGCACCTTCTGGAGGACAGTAAAGGAGAGTGGACATTGTGTGTCAGAGAGAGTTAGGGACAGGGTGCAAAAAGCATCCCTGTCAATCCCTTTCTGCCTTACATTCCTTTATCGTTGTGTTATTCACATAAATGTAAAGATTATACATAAATAATAGCATATTGGGAGGAGAAATACAACAAAATATCAACATTATATTATAGCTATTAACTATCACTGCATTAAAAAAAAAAAGACTAATTGTAAACAAATCCTGCCTTTAGTGATTCTCTAGAAATAATGAGTTGCTTCTTGACCAAGGAGAAGTCTGGACTCACAGATGCCTATATTAATATGATCATTTGTGTTTCCATTCAACTATTTTAACAGTATAAAAATTACATCTTTGATTTCTATTTAAAGGTCAACTTCACTCAAACTGAAAAATGAACTATCAATTCAGAAACAATCGTGAAGAAAAATGGTGATAAATGAGCCACAATACAAATGTTACACTTTAAATAAAAGAGGATTCTCTGAGGCAAATTGGGAAGTTATATGGCCCTATCAAACATGCATTTAAGCTGAGGTTCTCTGAAGGAAATAGATTTGGCTATCTTCCAAGGTAGACGAGATATCTAGGCGAGACCAGGTGAACAGGGATGGCAGAAAGTAGAGTTTTAAAGAGTTAAGATTTCTCTTTTCCCATCACTATGGGGGAGTGCCTGGAAGACTCTTTAGTATTTTAAATGTGTGCCAAGTTACTTGAGTAATGTGAAATTGATACCTCACTCTATAGCTCAAGTACTGAAATTATTAAACTTTAATTTTTCTCTTAAATGGTATATTATAGATAACAATTGACATAAAAAGGCAAGGGGCAAGTGGTAAACACAGAAAAAATAGATGAGCACTATGGAAGCAGAGGCATGGTATCAGAGAATTAGAAGAGTCTAGTTAGGGGAGACTTCTGCTAGATACCATGCTGAGAGGTTGCTCTCATCTATTACAGGCTCTGCTGCTGATTTGAGATTTGACTTCCACGCAAAATTAAATGTGAAAAGGTGTTGCTTTCCTCCTGTTCTAAGTTTTTTCACCGGTATGCATTATGGTTGTTTCGCTAGATTAATCAATCAGTTGTCCAATCAATTAAAATCTTCATAGCACTTTATTTTCTGACAAATAGTCTTTCTTTGTGTAATGAAATGACTACCTACCTTAAACTAGTTGTGATAAAAATCAAGTCATTGAATGGTAATAATACAGAATAAATTATATGGATTATGCTATTTATAGTTATAAAAATTTCAAATGAAACAATGGACATACTCATCAATAGTAAGCTTTGTATAAACTATGTTTAAAAATGTCTCCTGTATAAGATTATGCCCCTGGAATGAGTAGCCATTCATCTAGTGCCTGTCAAGATGGAGAAAATTATATGGAATAAATTGCAAATTATCTAAGAAGTGTTAAATTTCAGAATGTATGTGAGCGTAGTTGTTTATATTAAGAAATATCAGAAGTATATTCACAAAATTTTTAAGTTTATCAATAGAGAAGGGAGACGAAAGGGCATGGTGGTGCATGTCTGTAATCCCAGCACTTTGAAAGGCCCAGGTGGAAGGATCACTTGAGCCTAGGAGTTCAAGATCAGCCTCGGCAACCTAGGGGGACTCCATTTCTGTACAAATTAAACTAATTAGCAGGCATCCTAGCTACTCAGGAGGCTGAGGAAGGAGAATCACTTGACCCTGGGAGGTTGAAGCTGCAGTGAGCCTCCAGCCTCCGTGATGGAGTGAACCTGTCTTTGAAAAAACAAAAATGAAAAAAAAGGAGATGGAAGAAAATGGGGTAGAGGTGAGAAGGATATAAACTGAATTTCTTTGCATACATGCTACTTACAGGTTGAACTTTGGAATAATGTAAATATGCTATTTAATTACAAAACAAAAATAAATGTTAAAATATATATATAAAATAACATGAAATAAAAATAACATGGAACAACATTTTTGGAAAATAGATCCCCTGGGCTGGGCACAGTGGTTTATGCCTATAATCCCAGCACTTTGGGAAGCCCAGGCAAGTGGATCACTTGAAGTAAGGAGTTTGAGGCCAGCCTGGCCAGCATGGTGAAACCTCATCTCTATTAAAAAAAAGCGAATGACAAAAAATTAGCCGGGTGCAGTGGCACACGCCTGTAATCCCAGCTACTTGGGAGGTCGAGGCAGGAGATTCACTTGAACCAGGGAGGCAGAGGTTGCAGTGAGGTGAGATCGCATCACTGCACACCAGCCTAGGAGACAGAGGGAGACTCTGTCCCTCCCCACTGCCAAAAAAAGTAAATAAAATAAAAAAGAAAATAAACACACTGATTTATACTTATATTTCCTATTTCTTGCCACTGAAAAGGTCTAGAATCAAAGACCAACTCAAGAGAAATGAGTTCTTTTAGTGCCCTAACTGTTGTCTCTCAATATCATTTTCCATTGAAAGGATCTAGGGTTCCTTGGGGAAATAGTTGCTTCAAAGTCTGAGACAGGAAATGTGTAAGATGAATCTGTATCATTTTGTCATAACAAAAAGCAAAAATGTCAGCAAAACCTATAAGAAAAATGTTTTAAGGACCCAGGATCAAGCTTGAATAAACTCACACTGGCCAAAGATGAAATCATTTGAGCATTATGAAGGATAATAACTACAATGTATTAAAATACATGAAACGTGTTTGCATGAATTCATAATGATAATAAAAACAAAAATTTTACTAGTCAACTTTTAAAGATGCTAAGAAACCAAATATCTGGTAAATAAAAGAAAGGAATTAAGAATTACCCTGCCTTGTCTAAATAACTTGTACTTCCAGTTAACCAAAGAGTTGATGTGGGAACATTCCTCCTTTTAGAATTATTCTGCTCAACGAAAGAAAAGGAATGTTAAAAATTGAATGTCATCATTTTTCAATCTGTAATGAAATAAAAGATATCGGCTATAATCATCAGTACTGATAATATCACAAAAAGACAACCAGAGACGTTATTTGCCTCTTGATGAAAATACACACTTAAAAAGTACACTTGCCCAAAACACCTAGAACAAATCTAATCAACCTTCTGGATCTAATTACCAAATTACAGGGAATACAGGGAAGAAAATCATGCTAAAGACACTGCTGGGATGCAATCAGCAAAACCCAAAATGTGGGAAAGAAAATTCTGTTAAAAAAAATCAAAACAGATCTTCAACAAAAAATTCCAGAAAGATTCCAGAGAGTACACGGTAAACTCTACATTAAAAGACATTTCAGTTAATCTTAAATTATGGCTCTTCTTTTCATTGACATTTTAAGCAAAGAAATTCTTAATAAAAGATAAACAATTAGGAAATATTTATTTTAAGGAATTTTAAAGATGTGATAATGATATTGTAGCTAATTTGATTAAAGAATCCTCATTAAAAAAAATTGATTCAGTGAAAAAGCATCACTTTAAACCTTAGGATTTTTCAGAGAAGTACCCTACAAGATGATTTTTATAAAAATAAGTTAAGTGAATGGTAATAATTTTACATTTCAAAAATATACAGACACAATGAATACCACAAATAATCACTCACTTGCTTCATTTGCCACTTAAGCCTGTAGATTATTGTTGTTTTAATCAATAAATCAATATGGCAATATCTAGTGCCAGTAATTCAGAAATTGTTCCAAGCAATGTGGCTTTCTGGCAACTGACCTTCCTGAATCTGACATACAACCTGAAGGCACTAGGAATTTAAAAACTCTTATTGATTTATATACTAACAAGTAATGTGCAGGCTGCTGGTGCCCATGTTCATGTTTTGTTCAGGTAGAAATACAACATTTGATACTGTATAATTAATAGGTGGGAAGTAGATCCCAGAGTAAATGGAATACAAGGGAGTGAATGGCAAAGGATAGCTGAAGCACATTCATGATCAATCAAGCTCCATCTTTAAGGTTTCCATTTAATCATCCAAGGTCATGAATTTACAAGAAATTAGTTTATGTCATTTCCAGATATTTGTATTTTATAAATGCCTAGGTGAATATATTTATACATGTTTATATATGTGTGTGTGTGCATATGAGTGTATGGAAATGTGAGTGTGTGTGCTAGAGAGAGAGACAAAGAGAGGAGAGAAATCTTACGGTGATTAACAGCAGACATTTTGGAATTAGATTTTCTTGGGTTTAGTTCCCATTTCTAGCATTGGCACATACTGGTCTTGCACCGTTGGCCAAATTACTGATATTTACTAATTCTCAATGATTTTATTTTTTACATAGGGCTAATAAGATCTTAACATTACAGTTTGTTGCATTAGGTGAGATAATAAGTTTGTAGAATTTAGCACATTTCCTGGCACCTAGTCAGCCGCTCAGCAAGTGATACCAAAAGCATGAATAATCTAAATTCTAGTTTTTAAAAATACACTTTTAGAGAATACAATATGGAGGGTTAAATTTTGAGAAGAATTTTCTCAATATTTTAATTTCCTTTACCTGGATTATCTTTAATGAGCCTGAAAGATTTTATGCCAAACCAGTATTGCTGTAAAAAGTCTAGATTCTGTGAGCACTTTCAGCTCCTAGAAGTAGCATACTTAATGGTCTGATTTATGCTTTAGTTTTGCCATAGCCAGGACTCTCAGTCTAGAACCCATTCAAAACTTTCCATAGGAATATACGTGTTATGTCACAGAGTGTCTGTAACAACATAAATGGACCAGTATTTGGTCTGATACCTCATATAAGACAAAATTGGTTCCTGAAAATACAGAATTTCTATTTACAAATATCACAAAATATTTAAAAATGATGTCAGCTTTACTGTTATCATTTCATTTTCCTTCAACAAATTTGATGTATTATAATACCAAACAATAATAAGCAATCTCTGAAAAGTCTCAATTCTTTCATTCAAAAAATTCATGTATTAGACTAAAGCAGTGCTTCACACACTTTAGTCATTCTTGTAACACCTATATGGGTTTTTGCATATCTGAGCATCACCTATATCATTATTTACTAAATTATTTTTTCTTCAAACTGACTTAGTATTTTCACTTAAAAGTTTTAAAAGGAGAAGATTTAGCCAAGCGTGGTAGCTAACACCTACAATCCCAACACCTTGGAAGGAGGAGGCAGGCGGATCTCTTGAGCTTGGGAATTTGAGACCAGCTTGGCCAATATGGTGAGACATCCAGCTCTGCAAAAAATAATAAAAATAATTAGCCAGGCTTGGTGACACATGCCTGAAATACCAGCTACTTTAGGTGGGAAGATCACTTGAGCCTGGGAGGTTGAGGCTGCAGCGAGCCGTTTTCACGCCACTACACTCCAGTCTGTGCAACAAAGTGAGACCCTGTCTCAAAAAAAAAAAAAAAAAGAAAAGTTACATCACTAATATAAATTGTAGTAGAGGAAAATAAGTGGAAAACCAAATCAGTTTCCATATTAATAAATATATATATACATACTCAAAAATAATACATAATTTTAAAATAAAAAATAAGATAATGATTATATCAATTTCCCTCTGCGTGGAATTTTATAAGACCTTTCATGATCCATACCTTGGTTAACTCCTAGTTCTTCTCTTATTTTGCTTCCCTTCCGTCTCTCTTTTGTAAGAACACTAAATGTCATTCAATCCTGTGTATTATCTAAGATCTCTTGCCACAGGGTCTTTGCACTTACTAGCTCTGCTTGGTACATTTTTCTCCTCTCTATATCTAGTCAATGATTATCCTTTTACACCTTAGTTGGAGAATGCTTTCTCAAGGAAATCTTCTCGGATCTCCCTAAGCAAGTCAAATTATCCTATCATAGGTTCTCCTATTTAGCTTTTGTCAAAATTGTGGGTTTTCATATGTTTTGTGATTAATTGATTTTTTCTTTCTCATTAGATTCGAAGTTTCAAAAAGGCTATAATAATTAATGGTTATTCATATAATTTTATCTCTAGCAACTAGTACATGCCCATCCCACAAGGAATGGTGAATATATTTTGTTAAATAAATGAATAAAATAATAAATGTATTTGTACCATATTTCTGAAAACATGAGGAAGAATATTTCTATAGTTGAAGAAAACAACCACATCCTTTATTCCTCTAACTGCATTTTTTCCCACTTCTAACCACGTTAAATTTGGATTTTATAACCAGCCAAGAGAAAATTAGGTATGATTTTTGTGATATTGACCATTTTTCCTGTGAAAGGTTGTGTCTCCTTTCTCAGGTAAAAGAAAGACTGTCAAAGTGATTTTGTGGTTTGGAATTTTGAGCTTCAGAATTCTCTGAGTTTGCCAAATTTTCTCAGACAGTGTCATTTCAATACTGGAACACCATTATTTTCATATTAGATCTTTAATTTTTACATTAAAGAAATGTATAGTTTGTAAATTCAAAAAGTAAATTTCACAACCATTGAAATAAAAATCAAAGTCCCTCCGTGGAATACCTAAAATCTTATACTTCCATAATGATGAACACTGGACTAACAGATTTTGAAGTTTTCAAAATCACATTACTTTAGATTCATGAAGATTTGATGATGCCTAAGGCATTTTTACATATATTATGTGTTTTGACCCTTCCACAAATACTAAAATTTGAGCAGAGCAAGTATTCATATTCCCAGTTAACAAATGTGATGACTTAGTAAAATGGTCACGATCTTAATAATAGTTTATGGTAGGTGTTCTGACTATAGAAGCTTAGTGTTGGAAAGGACTGGGTTATTAAAGTGGGCTAGAAATTAATGAAAGTCAAGGAAGTTTCCAGTTATTGTCTTGAGGACCTCCATGTAGACAAAATCAAGTACGGTGATGGAAGAAGTTTGGTTAGAAAAGAATCAAAGGTACGGTGTACATAAGATTTCATGAATCATGGGGAGTATTGGAATACTTGTAGGGAGAAACAATGAAAAGAGAAAACATAATAATTTATAATATAATCAAATAAAGTAAATATCAAAGAAGAAATGATCTGTCTCAAGTGGAAGACTAATGATGTAAAAGTGTCAGTGCAATGTAGGAGAATACCAACACTACCTTTTAATGAAAATATTCCTGAGACACAGAGAATTAGGGTACTAGACTCAAGTGATCTGTAAAAAAATCACCAATTTTAAGGGAGAGGCAAGTATTAGTTATGCCAAGGAAGTTTATCATTCTATGAAATGTCTGAGGCTACTTTCCTATGAGAGAGAGGGAGCAGGCTACAATGAAGAGGATGGTAGAGAAAGTAACTTTGAGCTGTCAGAAACGAGATGAGGGGTGTGGAAGAAGGTGTGGAGAAGGAGGAAGTCCTCCCTGAGGACTTGAGAAGGAGCTGGTTCTGAGAGACTTGCGTTGGTGGGGATAGGTGAACAACTGTCGACTTAGGAGTCTGTACCTTTTGCAGAATAGCCTTGAAATCTGGAGAAAAAGAAAAGCCTAATAATATAGAGATAATACATTTAAAATACATAGTTGAAAGGAAGAGTTTTTTTGTTCCTTTGTGGCCATGAAAGTGACAAGGAAAGCCACAAATGGGTCAGAACCTCTCTCTCTTTCTTTGTGTGTGTGTGTATACACACACATTATATATATATATGCTCATATGCATAAATACACATATATGTATATAAATACATATATACATATATACTCATATGTGTAAATACACACATATATGTATATAAATACCTATATACATATATACTCATGTATAAATACACATATATGTATATAAATACATATATACATATAGGCATTTTTACATCTGGCAAAATTCTGAAAGAAAATGTATGAAACCAAATTACAACATGTTCAATCTTATAGTTACATTTTGAATTCAAGCAATGAAAAAAAAGTGGCCATTAAGTTCCATGAAATAAGTTATTGTGTTGTTCCATACAGGATAGCAAAGGATAGGAAAAAGTAATGAAATTTAGCAAAGCCTATACCCCAGTACCATTGCCCAAGGAAAAAAGGAGCAGAGGAAAGAAAAAAAATTGCTAGATGAAGACAGAAAAAATTGAGAAAGCTTGAAAAACAAAAGTTGCTAAGATTAGATGGTCATTATTTTGCTTCTTTTCTCCTCACCTTATATCATCATGGAATTCATGGAGAGTAGATAGTTTGGAATAAATTGAGAGCCTAATTTGATTTGAATCAATACCTGTGACATCCTGTGCATTGCTCTGAATTAGGTATTTTTGAAGACAAAAAATAAACAAGGCTTCATAGAACATTCACTATATCCAAGATAATGAGCTGTGCACAAAAGAGTAACACAAAACACCCGTGTCGATTAGTGCCATGGTTGGAAAAAGAGCCTATGGGAGCAAAAAGGTTTAATTCTTTTTAGGAGTATCACAGACTTTTAAAATGGGATCATATGTAATTAGGACTCTGATGATTGTGTAGAATTTGTATAGGTGGAACTGGAGCAGAAGGGAATCAAGAGAATCCCGGAAATATTAAAATGGAGGGCAGGTCTTAGGGCAGGTGCTTTTTGTGGGCAATAAAACTGGTAATTCAGATCAAAAGGAAATATGGACATTCTGAAGGTCTTCGGAAGGCCTTGTTGAAAGATATTGTATTATATTGGTTACAAACTCTTGCAGAGATCTGATTAAAGCTGTTGCTTCTCATGCACATATGCACATTCAGTAATGTTTTGCACACTGTTTCATCGTTTCACAGAAGGCCTTGAGCTATCAATAAGTCTTACTCATAGGCAATGGGAAATCAATGAAAATATGAAAGTAAGTTTCTAAGAGCACACATTTTCTGATAAACTGCAAGCAATTTCTTTGTTTCATGTGAAACTCATCATCACCATCTACAACTCTGGATACAACATGGACTTAAAATTGCAATGGTCTTCCCAGGTGTGAAAAGATTAAAACATTTCTCTGGAGAGTTTTATGCAACGCCAAGGGTAAATACTTTTAAGAAGTAAATATCATCTATGTGAGCATATATCTCCCATTCTGCATTTGTAGAAAGAGCCCCTCTGATAAGTGTGCTAGTTTAAAGGAACATAATATACGTATTTTGAAAGCTGAGAAAAATGACAGAGTTTTGTTCCTCTCACGTTATTTGCATAAAGGGATTTTTATCACACAGACATTTCTAGAATTAGAAAAGAGCTTTCACAGATTTTACCCTTTGAAAATGACAATATCTAATCTCTTTGCTTTCATGAGCCTAGCCTGCATTGCCAAATAACTCAGGAGGGAAATAGTAAACTATTTTTCACAGATCCTCAATAATAGATGAGATATGAAATGAATTTCATGGAAGTTGAACACCCTGGAGGTTATTAGTTTGCCATAATATATAGCATTATTCTGACATCATATCATTATCATTATTATTTTTTTCTGCAACCAACCTAAAACATTTGAAAAATTTATCAATTTTATCATTTATGAATCTTAATAAAGAATGTGTGTCTTTTTCTTAAAACTGTTAAGCTATGACAGTCATTTATATTTTAAGTTATACATGCATGCACTGAATATTTAGTATGGCAACTTGAAGTATATTAGAGAAATAGTTAACCAACATTTAGTTAATATAAGATACACTTTTTAAGAGCAAGGAACATGTACACAATTAATGCATCAAATTATTGACATAAAAATAAGTAATAATTTACACAGGAATTATCAAAGGTTTAATTTTAAAGTCAAAATGTATAATAAATAGTGATCATTTTCTAAGTGTTATGCTTGGGTGCTAATATATTTTTAATATTAGTATGTATATATATGTGTGTTTTTTTTTTTACATTAGGTTAATGAGAGAACTAAATATGCATATTTAATCTCTAAAAGGTTCAACTTGGAAATTCTCTTCAGTATTTTCAAGCAATCCTCAGTGTCAACTTTTAAAAGTTGGGAATTGAGGATCTTATCTTTTATTAGCAATTTTTTCCTCAAAGACTCTACAAACCAGTATTAAAATGTTAACTAAACACAACAATATATATTTGTTAAAACTAATAAAACCTTGCACTTAAAATGGTAAAAAAAAATGTAAACCAAACATCAATAAAGCTGACTCTTAAAAAAGCGGGAAAAAATGAATCATGTAAAACTTTTAATGTACTTTAAAATAGATAAAAATATAGTTTGCAAATATCAGTACAGTTTGAGCATCTCAAATCTGAAAATCTGAAACCCAAATCCAAAATGCTCCCAAATTTGAAACTTTCTGAGAGCTGACATGATGCTCAAAGGAAATCCTCATTGCAGCATTTCAGATTTCAGATTTTCAGAATAGGAATGCTCAACAGGTATAATGCAAATATTCCAAAATTTCCCCGAAATCCCAAATCTGAAACACTTCTGGTCTCAAGCTTTTTGGATAAGTGATAGTCAATCTGCACAACCATGAGCTAAGGAATTTTTTTGCCCACCCTAAAGCCCATTTTCTAAAGAGTAGTACAATTAGAACAAATTTAAAATTCTGTGTTTATCAATATTTTTTCTTTCTTGAAAAATGTTATAAGCATTAATTTCACTACCAAAAATCAGTCCATTAAAAATTAAACAAAAATTTCCTCTTTGGTTTTTGGTAGGAGATGTCGAAAGAGTTTTCTTGATATATTTACTGTATTTTCTTGTTTTCATCATTTAAAAGATTTATGGTTATTTGTCTATTTAGCTAGCAGATGGGAAGTGATTTTCTCATGTTCTGTATTCATCACAGAATGACTGATCATTCCTATTTTCCCTCTATTTCAGAGAAAAACAAACAAAAAATAATTTTCATTATAGTTGTGCTACTTTCATTACAGTGTTATTGTCAGAAGAACCCTTTACACTAATCCTAGATATGAGTCAAGGCACTGAATATCCAGTAAAATAAAATAGCTTTCTTGTACTGTCTCCAGTAGCCTAGTTTTGATTCTAAGCCCTTCTTCTGCTAACCAGCTGCACACAACTCTTCCTGCATTGTCTGACTCACTCTTCCCTCTCAGAATTCAATTGCCTGCCTTTTCGGCTGACCTCTTATTGATTCTGTGGTGAGACACATTGC
Organism: Homo sapiens; assembly: GCF_000001405.40. Taxonomy (NCBI): domain Eukaryota; kingdom Metazoa; phylum Chordata; class Mammalia; order Primates; family Hominidae; genus Homo; species Homo sapiens. Next base: position 137,559,245 of record NC_000004.12, read on the forward strand.
CTGTCTTTGAGTTTCAGATAAGACCTTATTCTTCTATCGTAAGTGGCAAAACTAAGACCAAAAAGCCAATGCCCTATAAAGGGTCTAAGGTGTGTTAGGATCCTAGGCACCTAAATCTGGTGTGAGATGTTCACAAGATTTCCATGCCCTTCTTTAAACATGGAAAGAGTAAGAAAGTGCTGACCACTGGCACTTGAATCACTTCATGTCCAATTCTCCCAATCCAACTATTAGGAATCTCATCCAGTATGAGACAGCTCCCCAGTTCAAGAACAAATGAGCCCACAACCCTCCCAAACCCATGTATTTTTTGGCTTCACTCCCGGGAGACAGCTCTGTCACAGCTTTCTTCTTCCCAATCAAAGCATAACCTATCTCACCTATTAGGAATAGTGGGATAATAGTAAGGAAATCCCAGTCTTTTCCTCAAAGCATCCCACTGGGACATTATTACTTAGGCAAATCCATGTCCTCTACTCAAAGGAAGAAGGAGACCCCTTCCTATCATACATAGAATAGTTTACGAAGGAAGAGCCTATTTTAGAGTTTGCTATTGTTCATCTTTACCCGTAGTATCATTCCTTTCAAGGACTCTAGATTTTAAGCTAGTTAAAACCACATTACTTTTGATCCTTTATATCAAACTCAAAATAAATATGACTTAATGATATTCTGTTTGGTTCAATGTGTTGGTAACAGTTCTTTATTCTGATTGCTACTAAATATGTTGTTGAATTCCAGAAGATCCTGGTTAGCCATTCTTGAAATAACATACTCAATAGCATTAACTTGGATTCATCCATATATGGACATCTACTTTGAGTATGTGGTCTTTTATTGAGATACATCTGGAATACATTAGTTGTTCCATTAACTGACTGCCTACTTGTATATAAAGATATTACTTATGAAAATGTATTAAAACCTCTTTTAGTAACCTTTGTAATTATATAATCTGCTTCTTACAAAAACTTTATGAGGCAGGTACGATTACTAATGCCCATTTTAGTGTTCAAGAAACTGAGATGGAGCTCTACTGAGTAAATTTCTCCAAGACATGCAGCTAATAAAAGGTTATGTTTGTATTTGAATCAAGAGTGTTTGGATCCAGAGCCCATGATTTTAACCGTGACTCAAATTAACTTTAGCAGATCTCCTGTCCATCTTAACTGAGACTCTTCCTATTTTTTGTCAGAACTTGACGAGATTGTATGACTCAGTTTTAATGGAGTCAGTCAACTTTCACTACTAATTTCACTAGCCCACAGCATCTGAAATAGATAGATCCCACCAAAAGATATTCTGCCAGAATGTAAGGACATAGAAGAAATTTGAAATACTCAAGGGCTAAAATTTGACAAACAGCCACTGCAGGGTGGAAACAAGATTTTCAAGTATTAAAATGTCAACCTCTTATTCTGACGCATGTATATCAGTAAGATTTAATATAGACCTTCTGACTTTCTAGACCTCATCCCTGGAAGAGAGGGCTCATTGATCTTCCATCTACTTGTCATCAAATGCTTGAAAAATTATTCATAAGAACAGTGAGTTTGCAAAATATCTAGGTTGTAAAAGGTATTTCCTCCTTCCATATTACAACTTCTGAAAAGCAATATCATATCTTCAAGAATGAGTTACATCAAAAAGCGATTATTCACAGAGGCCATCCCTCATGCCATTCTTATAGATTACACCTCTAGAGAAAGTAAAAACTCTTATCCATTGTGGTTTAGGAAATTTCTTTCTGTATGTTCCTCAGTCATTTTATCTTGTCCCCTTCAGCCAGCTTGTAGGTTCTCGTTGTTTTTGTTTTGTACACCACCTTCTCCACCATTAGTAGAATATTTACCTTATTGTCTTAACCCACAGTTTCCCAGTCTCAGCACTAGTGACATATTGAGCTGGATAATTATTTGTTGTGAGGGGACTGTCTTGAGTATTGCAAGATTTTTAGCAGCACCCCTGGCCTCTACATAAGGTGCTAGCAACGCTACTCTCTCCCCACCCCCAAGTTATGACAAGTAAAAATGCCCCCACTCATTGCCAAATGTCCGTTGGTGAGGAGGGCGGCAAAAATTACCCTCTGTTTGAAAACTACTGACATAAAGCATGGAGAAAGTTGTTTCCTAAGAAGATATATAAGATCACTTACATAGCTTTCAGCTTTAAATTTCCCTTCAAGGAGAACTTAATAAAAGATAGTGTTAAAGTACGTGGGCAATAAGAGGCAGTTATATACCTGAAAACTGACCATAGATTTGGGATTCAGACTGCCTGCCTGGGCCTGAACTCCAATTCTAGCAGCTAGTAATTACATGAAAGTTCACCACAGTTTCCTCATCTGTAAAGCTGAAATAATGACCTTGTACTGATTATTTTCGTTTGCTCCTCCAGATTATCTCCACCCTTGTCTTCCCTGACTGGGAGGCTGACCCACAGGACTAATCTTATTTTTCAGAAAAGAAACCTGAGATTCTATGACCTTAATAAGGAGTTTTTCTGAAATTACAAAAGTTGTATATGGGAGACTTGGGCTTCATAGCTAGGAGCACTGTCCTAAAATTAAACAAGCGCTCACAACACCAATGACTAACTTCCTGTTTTAATAATTCTACTAATTAGGAAAGTTTTAATACCCTTTATTTCATTTTGAAGATACTTCCATAACTGTACTTACTCCTGCATATACTTTCTATTAACTCTCAAATATTTGTGTAAAGATTGTTATCATTCTCCTTTAACAGATGAAGAAACTCAAGCCACAAGCCTTTTTTGTATGCTCTCCTATCCCATGAACATTCCCTTCAGCCTCTGCTTGATTTGTTTCCTCCAAACATTGGGCTTTAATTCTAGCTGTCACTTCATCAGAGAGCTCTTTTGTGGTTATCGTGTCATCTAGAGTCAGTTTCCCTTATTCCTTATTTATTCCCTGTATAGCACTTATCTACAATCTCGAATTATTTTATCTACACAGGTTTTTCTGCTTGCCATTCTACTCTCCAGCAGAGGAGACAGAGAATATAGCTGTCTACTTCACGTTTGTCTCCTCTGTGCCTAGCTTGACAACAGAGAGCAATATGTGATTATTTAATGAAGAGTCATACATCTAAGAAATGGTAGTCAGGAACTGAACTCAGATCTTAATGAATGAAAAGCAAAACTTGAAATCACTATGGCTATTTCCTTTTATAATCTGAAGGAATCTCTAATCCTAAGAATATAAGGGCAGACAAGGAATACAAGCGTCTCCACCAGTCTTCCCACATCACTTTCACAGTTGATTTTTCTCTCACTGTTGACCATCCTCTCTTCCAGCACCCTCAACTATTGGTCAATTTTATTGTACCATTTCCAAATTACATAACTAGTCCATTCACTTACTTTCATATTCATTGCTAACTTAGCTCAAGATAATGTCTTTATTTTTTATGCTATAACACAGTCTTCTTATTGATTTTTTTTTGTTTCACTCTTTCTCTCGATATCTTCTCCACAGAACAGCTGGTAGAAATTATAAAGAAAAAAATCGTAACATTGCCTTAAGGAAAAATTCTCAATCATTTTCCTTTGCAATTAGAATAAATATAAAAATCATTAGAATAACCAACAAAATCGTATTCTCTGATATTGCTTTCTGCACTCCCCCTCATTTACCTCTTCTCAGTGTTCCAGCCTTTTTAAAGTTTTGTTTGTTTGCTTGTTTGTTTGTTTGTTTGTTTTCTGAGATGGAGTCTCACGCTGTCGCTCAGGCTGGAGTGCGGTGGCGCGATCTCGGCTCACTGCAAACTCTGTCCCCCAGATTCACGTGATTCTTGTGCCAGTAGCTGGGACTACAGACGTGCGCCACCACGCCCGGCGAATTTTTTGTATTTTTAGTAGAAACGGGTTTTCGCCTTGCTAGCTGGTCTCGAAATCCTGACCTTAAGTGATCTGCCCGCCTCGGCCTCCTAAAGGGATGGGATTACAGGAGTAAGCCATGGCGCCTAGCCCCTTTTTTAAGTTTTTTGAGCAAGACAAGTTCAATCCTTTCTTTGGAATCCTGATCATTGTGTGTTAGGCTGCCTCATCATTCAAGGAAAGTTCTGCTTTCCCCAACTACTGTCCCTAAGAGCAAATAGTCCTTTTTTTTTTCTTTATGGCATTTATTTGCTACTGAAATTATTTATGTTTCATGTGTACCACTCCACACCAGAGGTTTTAGAATTTTTCCTAGATCATAACTGTATTTGCAGTTCCTGGAACAATACCCGGTGCGAAGTAGACCCCCTAAATTTAAAAAAAAATGAGTAAATGAATAAAGATATTTATTCTGGACTTTCACAGAACTTTTAGAATAATGGCTCAGTATCATTACCTTTTATTCTTATCTAAAAATGTTTCTAAGAAAAACTCAAACCTAATATGCTGGAAATAGGCAGGAGCCTTTCCACTGCAAATGACACAAACTCAACTCAAACTACCTTAGACTAAAATGTAATTTTTCAGCTCTAGTGTCTGAAATACCCAAAAAGTGACGTGACATTCAACCCGGACTTGAAGTTAAAACACTGTTGGCTGCTCCTCTTTCTCTCTCTCTCTCACTCTCTCTTCCCCTGCCTCTTTCCTCTTTCTCCCTCTCCTTTTAATTCTGTTAACTTTATTTTTAGATCGTATCTCTATAATTAGTATTAATATGACCGCAAGCTACCCCAGGCTTACAGTTAGTGATCTCAGGGTAAAGAAAGCAGTCCCCTCTCACACGGTGTACATAGAGGTGCTCCCAATTTATTGTTTTGCTCCACCCCAAAATATGAGCCCATCTCAATAATGGAGGAAGTAGGCATATCCTTGTGTGACAATCCCAGCAGAACCACATAGAGAGGAAGAGGAGGACTGGCTCAAAAATTAAAGCTCAGGAAAGAAGAAAGTGCACTTAAAGGCCACCAAGCCATAATGTGCCCTTTTCAGTGGCTTATTGTAGGAAACATGCCAGCCGTTCAAAGCCACCTACAATAAGCGAATCTGAGGTTAAACTAACGTTGGAAAGACAGATCCAGGTGTATTTCACCTTCCTTCTGATCCTGGATGGTGACATAACTGGTTCAGCCTTTAGGATAACTGTTCAACTTGGGTTGAACTTAGCCATGAGGCAAGAAAGTATGGAAATTTTAAATGTTCTAACTAGTTTATGCTCCATTTCACACTCAGTGATATTAAATGAGACATGAGAGATGAACAATGCAGTTGGTTCTTCATTAAACTGTTATAGCCTTTTCTATTTTAAGCTTTTATAGGCTTATATCTATTTGTAGATGTGCAGGTGAATACTTGCACATTTCCTCTGACATATGTGGAGAATAAACAAATACCCGTGATGGTAAAGATACATTTCTTCATTCTAAAGATATCAATTATCAATATGTAGATTCTGGATGGTATAAAACATTAATCCCTAGTTTGCCAACATTGGCTAGAACATTTTCTAAAGAAGCCTACCAGTTTAGGGGGATGTAGACAGTATTCCCCCCTTATTTACGGTTTTGCTTTCTGTGGTTTCAGTTACCCACAGCCAACTGAGGTCTGAAAATATTAAATAAAAAATTCCAGAAGTAAACAATTCATATTCTTTAAATTGAGTAGCATTCTGAGCAGCACGATGAAATCCCATGCTGTCCTGCTCCATCCTGCGTGATACATGAATTATTTCTTTGCCTCAGAATATCCACCCTGTAGGCAGTAACCTGTCCATTAGCCGCTTAGTAGTTGTTCCTGTTATCAGATTGACTTAGTGGTATCGCAGTGCTTGTGTTCAAGTAACCCTTATTTTACTTGTAATAACTTGAAAGTGCAAGAGTCGTGATGCTGGAATATTGTTTTACTATTGTTGTCGTTATTCTCTCACTATGCCTAATTATGAATTAAGCTTTACTATAGGTATGTATGTATAGGAACAAACATTAGTATATATAGAGTTTGGTACTATCCAGCATTTTTGGTATCACTGCAGGAGGTGGTCTTGGAAGGTATCTGCTGAAGATAATAGAATACAATTTTATCTTAACAATACAAATTCTCACATAAACCAAAGGAGTCTAGGGAAAATAAGCCATATTTTAAAAAAATACTTAACTAAAAGATCTATTCCTCTAAGCTGCTTATCTGCATTAGTAACACAGGGGCACCAAACTGGAGATAGTAACTTTCTGAAAGAAAGTATGTTTTGAGGACCCTTGGAAAATAAAAAAAATACATGTTTTGGGAAGAAAAATCCTGCCAAACAGCCAAAACAATATAGTATAATGAGACAATTATATTATTGACCAAGTTTACATAAAATTTGATTCTTTACAACCACCACCACCATAGAAAGAAAAGCTTACATTGGACACTACATTTAATTATGAAATATAGAAAAGATTCAAGTAGAGATTGTTTTAATGATGACTAACATTGTAATTTTAATGAAGAGAGTTTCTCTTGACTTAGAGCTTTCTTACTACTCTTTATTCTAGTGTGTCTTAAGCTATTACATTGGCAAAAAAATTATAAGAAAATAGGATTTGATGTAGTTTGATTGCGTGTCATGGCCCAAATCTCATGTTGAAATATAATCACCAATGTTGGAGGTAGGTCCTGGTGGGAGTTGGTTGGATCATGGGGGCAAATTTCTCATGAATGGCTTAGCACCTTCCCCTGGGTGCTGTCCTTGCGATAGTGAGAGAATTCTCTCAAGATCTGGTTATTTAAAAGCATGTGGAACCCTCTGTCTCGCTCTTGTCCCTGCTTTCACCATGTAACGTACCTGCTCTCCCTTTGCCTTCCTGCCTGATCATAGTTTTCTGAGACCTCCTCAGCAGCAGATGCCACTATGCTTCCTGTACAGCCTGCAGAACCTTAAGCCAATTAAAAACCTCTTTTCTTTATAAATTACCCAGTGTGGGTATTTTTAGCAATGGAATAATAGGCTTATATAGATTTAATATATAACCAATCAATATAAAAATCTCAGTGAATTCACACTACCGAAAACTTACTTATTCTACATACATGGATTACCCTTTCCTTAGAGCTTCCTAAAATTAGATTAATGAAGGTAAGTAGAATCTGCTCTAATGATTCCACTCTACTTAGGAAATATGGGGAAAAAAACCATAAGAGGATTATTTACTCTTTGTTATTTTCAACCATCATTAAATCTCCTTCATATTGATGGGAGTAATAATTTAATAATAAATGCTATGAAATAAGCAGTAAAAACTGATTACTGTGTAATGAACAAAAGTATATTTGTCAAATCCAGTAGTCCCTTTTTAGTTTTAATCTTAAAAATTTTAGTCGTTAATTAATTCTGATAACAATCTTTTTTTTTCTACCATTCTTTTTCTTCTTTTCTTCCATATTACTCCTTCTCTTATTTCCTTGCCTGCTTCTCTTGAAGCTTATTTTCTGTAAGTACAAATACTCCACCAGTTTAGGTTCCATCTTTGGCTTTTAAAATTCATCTATCTAGGCAAGGCACAGTGGCTCACTGCTGTAATCCCAGCACTTTGGTAGGCTGAGGCGGGCAGATCACTTGAGGTCAGGAGTTGAAGACCAACCTGGTCAACATGGTGAAATCCCATCTCTACAACAAAACAAAACAAACAACAACAACAACAACAAAATTAGCCAGATGTGGTGACGCAGGCCTGAAATCCTAGCTACTTGGGAGACTGAGACACGACAGTCGTTTGAACCTGGGAGGTGGAGGTGGCAGTGTGCAGAGATCGCGCCACTGCACTTCAGCCTGGGTGGCAGAGTGAAACTCTGTCTTAAAAAAAAAAAAATCTATCTATCTATCTATCTTTTGCCATTGAAATCCTATTTTGCCACTTAACCACATTTTTTTTCTTCTTTCAGAACTTTATTTTTTCTTATTTTTTTTTTTCACTTCAAGTTCCGGGATACATGTGCAGAACGTGCAGGTTTGTTATACAGGTATATGTGTGCCTTGGTGGTTTGCTGCACTTATTGACCTATCGTCTAAGTTTCTTGCCCTCACCCTCCACCCCCAACAGGCCTGGTATATGTTGTTTCCCTCCCTGTGTCCAAGTGTTCTCATTGTTCAACTCCCACTTATGAGTGAGAACATGCGGTGTTTGGTTTTCTGTTCCTGTGTTAGTTTGCTGAGAATGATGGCTTCCAGCTTCATTCATGACCCTGCAAAGCACATGATCTCATTCCTTTTAATGGCTGCATAGTATTCCATGGTGTATATGTACCACATTTTCTTTATCCAGTGTATCATTTATGGGCATTTTTGTTGGTTTCATGGCTTTGCTATTGTAAATAGTGCTGCAATAAACATATATGTGTATGTGTCTTTATAGTAGAATGATTCATATTTCTTTGGGTATATACCCAGTAACAGGATTGCTGGGTCTAATGGTATTTCTGTTTCTAGATCCTTGAGGAATCACCACACTGTTTTTCACAATGGTTGAACTAATTTACGTTTCCATCAACACTGTAAAAGCATTCCTATTTCTCCACAGCCTCACCAGCATCTATGTTCTTGAATTTTTAATAATTGCCATCTTGAATTTTTAATAATGGCATGAGATGGTATCTCATTGTGATTTTGATTTGCATTGCTCTAATGATCAGTGACGTTGTGGTTATTTTCATATGTTTGTTGGCCATGTAAATGTCTTCTTTTGAGAAGTGTCTATTCACACCCTTTGCCCACTTTTTGAAGGGGTTGTTTGTTTTTGTAAATTTGTTTCAGTTGCTTGTAAATTCTGGATATTAGACCTTTGTCCGATGGGTAGATTGCAAAATTTTTCTCCCATTCTGTAGATTGCCTGTTCACTCTGATGGTCGTTTCTTTTGCTATGCAGAAGCTCTTTAGTTTAATTAGATCCCATATGTCAATTTCGGTTTCTGTTGCAATTGCTTTTTGCATTTTCATCATGAATTCTTTGCCCATGCCTATATCCTGAATGGTGTTGGCTAGGTTTTCTTGCAGCCATCTTGGGTTAATTTTTGTATAAGGTGTAAGGAAGGAGTCCAGTTTCAGTTTTCTGCATATGGCTAGCCAGTTATACCAGCACCATTTATTGAATAGGAGATCCTTTCTCCATTGCTGTTTTTTGTCAGGTTTGTTGAAGATCAGATGGTTTAGATGTGTGGTGTTATTTCTGTGGTCTCTGTTATGTTCCAATGATCTATATGTCTGTGTTGGTACCAGTAGCAAGCTCGTTTGATTTCTGTAGCCTTGTTGTATAGTTTGAAATCAGGTAGCGTGATGCCTCCAGCTTTGTTCTTATTGCTTAGGATTGTCTTGGCTATACGGGGTCTTCTTTGATTCCATATGAAATTTAAAGTAGTTTTTTCGAATTCTGTGAAAAATATCCACGGTAGTTTGATGAGACTAGCACTGAATCTATAAATTACTTTGGGCAGTATGGCCATTTTCACAATATTGATTCTTCCTATCCACGAGGATGGAATATTTTTCTATTTGTTTGTGTCCTCTCTTATTTGCTGAGCAGCAGTCTGTAGCTCCCCTAGAAGAGGTTCTTCACATCCCTTGTTAGCTGTATTCCTAGGTATTTTATTCTCTTTGTAGCAATTGTGAATGGGAGTTCATTTATGATTTGGCTCTCTGCTTGCCTACTGTTGGTGTATAGGAATGCTTGTGATTTCTGCATATTGATTTTGTATTCTGAGACTGGTGAAATTGCTTATCAGCTTTAGGAGATTTTGGGCTGAGATGATGGGGTTTTCTAAATATAGAATCATGTCATTTGCAAGCAGAGACTATTTGACTTTCTCTCTTCCTATTTTAATACCATTTATTTCTTTCTCTTGCCTGATTGTTCTGGCCAGAACTTCCAATACTATGTTGAATAGGAGTGGTGAGAGAGGGCATCCTTGTCGTGTACAGGCTTTCAAAGGGGATACTTCCTACTTTTGCTCATTTAATATGATATTGGCTGTGGGTTTTTCATAAATATATCTTATTATTTTGAGATATGTTCCATTAATTCCTAGTTTATTGAGACTTGTTAACATGAAGGGATGTTGAATTTTATCAAAGGCCCTTTCTGCATCTATTGAGATAATCATTTGGTTTTTGTCTTTGGTTCTGTTTAGGTGATGGATTACATTTATTGATTTGCATATGTTGAACTAACCTTGCATCCCAGGGTTGAAGCTGACTTGATCATGGTCAATAAGTTTTTTAATGTGTTGCTGAATTTGATTTGCCAGTATTTTATTGAATATTTTTGCATTCATGTTCATCAGGGATATTGGCCTGAAGTTTTCTTTTTTTGTTGTGTCTCTGCCAGATTTTGGTATCAGGATGATACTTACTTCATAAAATGAGTTAGCCCTCCTTTTCAATTGTTTGGAATAGTTTCAGAAGGAATGGTACCAGCTCCTCTTTGTACCTCTTGTAGAATTTGGCTGTGAATCCACCTGGTCCTGGGCTTTTTTTGGTGAATAGGCTATTAATTACTGCCTCAATTTCAGAACTTGTTATTGATCTATTCAGGGATTCAACTTCTCTTAGGTTTAGTCTTGGGAGGGTGTATGTGTCCAGGAATTTATCCATTTCTTTTCAATTTTCTAGTTTATTTGGTAGAGGTGTTCATAGTATTCTCTAATGCTAGTTTGTATTTCTTTGGGGTCAGTGGTGATATCCCCTTTATCTTGTTTTGTGTCCATTTGATTCTTCTCTCTTTTCTTCTTTATTAGTCTAGATAGTGCTTTACCTATTTTGTTAATTTTTTCTAAAATCCACCTCCCGGATTAATTGATTTTTGGTAGCTTTTTCGTGTCTCTATCTCCTTCAATCCTGCTCTGATGTTAGTTATTTCTTGTCTTCTGCTAGCTTTTGGATTAGTCTACTCTTGTTTCTCTAGCTCTTTTAATTGTGATGTTAGGGTGTTGATTTCAGATCTTTCTAGCGTTCTGATGTGGGCATTTAGTGCCATAAATTTTCCTCTTAACACTGCTTTAGCTGTGTCCCAGAAATTCTGGTACGTTGTCTCTTTGTTCTCATTGGTTTCAAAGAAACTCTTGATTTCTGCCTTAAATTTCATTATTTACCCAAGAGTCATTCAGGAGCAGGTTGTTCAATTTCAGTGTAATTGTGTGATTTTGAGTGAGTTTCTTAATTCTGACTTCTAATTTGATTGCACTGTGGTCTGTGCAGTGACTGTTATGACTTCACTTCTTTTGCATTTGCTGAGGAGTGTTTTCCTTCCAATTATGTGGTTGGCTTTAGAATAAGTGCCATGTGGCACTGAGAAGAATGCATATTATGTTGATTTGGGGTGGAGAGTTCTGTAGATGTCTATTGGGCCCACTTGATCCAGAGCTGAATTCAAGCCCTGAATATCCTTATTAATTTTATGTCTTGATCTGTCTAATATTGACAGTGGGGTGTTAAAATCTCCCACTATTATAGTGTGGGAGTCTAAGTCTTTTTGTAGGTCTCTAAGAATTTGTTTTATGAATCTGGGTGCTCCTGTATTGAGTGCACATATATTTAAGAGAGTTAGCTCTTCTTGCTGAATCGATCCCTTTACCATTATGTGAAGCCCTTCTTTGTCTTTTTTGATCTTTGTTGGTTTGAAGTTTTGTCAGAGATAGGATTGCAACTCCTGCTTTTTTTTGTTTTCCATTTGCTTGGTAAATTTTCCTCCATCACCTTATTTTGAGCCTCTGTATGTCTTTGCATGTGAGATGGGTGTCCTGAATACAGCACCCCTAAGGGTGCTCTTTCCAATTTGTCAGCACCCCTAAGGGTGCCTCTTTCCAATTTGCCAGTCTGTGTCTTTTAACTGGGGCAGTTAGCCCATTTACATTTAAGATTAGTATTGTTATGTTGAATTTGATCCATCATCATGATGCTTTCTGGTTATTTTGCCCACTAGTTGATGCAGTTTCTTCATAGTGTCATTGGTCTTTATATTTTGAGGTGTTTTCTGCAGTGACTGATACCAGTTTTTCCTTTCCATATTTAGTGCTTCCTTCAGGAGTGATTGCAAGGCAGGCCTGGTGGTGATGAAATTTCCCTCAGCATTTGCTTGTCTGGAAAGGATTTTATTTCTCCTTTGCTTATGAAGCTTAGTTTGGCTGGATATGAAATTCTGGGTTGAAAATTCTTTTCTTGAAGAATGTTGAATATTGGCCCTCAATCTCTTCTTCCTTTTAGGGTTTCTGCTGAAAGGTCTGCTGTTAGTCTGACGGGCTTCCCTTTGTAGGTGACCTGGCCTTTCTTTCTGGCTGCCCTTAACATTTTTTCCTTCATTTCAACCTTGGAGAAGCTGATGACTATGTGTCTTGGGGTGGCTCTTCTCATGGAGTATCTTAGTGGTGTTCTCTGTATTTCCTGAATTTTCATGTTGGCCTATCTTGCTAGGTTGGGGACGTTCTCCTTGATAGTATCCTGAAGTGTGTTTTCCAGCTTGTTCCCATTCTGCGTGTGTTCTTCAGGTACTCCAGTCAATCATAGGTTTGGTCTTTTTATCTAGTCCTGTATTTCTTGGAGGCTTTGCTCATTCCTTTTTTATTCTTTTTTTCTCTAATCTTGTCTGCATGCCTTATTTCAACAAGGTGGTCCTCCAACCCTGATATCCATTCTTCCACTTGGTTGATTTGGCTACTGACATTTGTGTATGCTTCACAAAGTTCTTGTGCTGTGTTTTTCAGCTCCATCAGGTCATTTGTGGTCCTCTCTGAACTGGTTATTCTAGTTAGCAGCTCCTCTAACCTTTTATCAAGGTTCTTAGCTTCTTTGCCTTGGGTTACAATATGCTCCTTTGGCTAAGCAGTGTTTTTTATTACCTATCTTCTGAAGCCTACTTCTGTCAATTTGTCCATCTCATCCTCATCCTTGCTGAAGAGAAATTGCAATCATTTGGAGTAGAAGAGGCACTCTGGCCTTCGGGGTTTTCAGCTTTTTTTCATTGATTCTTTCTCATCTTTATGACTTTTTCTTATTTCGATCTTTCAGGTTGCTGACCCTTGGTTGGGGTTTTTGTGGGGACTTTTTGTTGTTGTTGTTGATGCTGTTGTTATTGCTTTCTGTTTGATTGTTTTTCTTTCAGTGGTCAGGCCCTCCTTCTGTAGGGCTGCTGTGGTTTGCTGGGGGTTCACTTCAGGCCCTATTCATCTGCTTTACTCCTGCACCTGGAGATGTCACTCAAGGAGGCTGGAGAACAGCAAAGTTGGGTGCCTGCTCCTTCTTCTGGGATCTCTGACCTTGACAGGCACTAACCTGGTATCAGTAGGATAGCTCCTGTATAGGGTGTCTGACAACCTCTGTTGGAGGGTCTCACCCAGTTGGGTGGCACAGGGAACGGGACCCATTAACAAAACACTTTGACTGTCCCTTGGTAGAGGGGGTAGGCTTTGCTGGGGGGAAACCCAATTGTCTGGGCTGCCTGGATTCCTCAGAACTACCAGGAGGAAAGGCTAAGTCTGCTGGTCGGCAGATGGTGGCCACCCTTCCTGCTAGGGGCTCAGGCCCAGGGAGATCAGGGTTCTGTCCCTGACCCTCTGGCTGGAGTTGCTGGAGTTCCTGCAGGGAGGCCCCACCCACTGAGAAAGTATGAGTCAGGGTCAGGCCTGAAGAGGCACTCTTGCTGCAGTCTGCCATAGCTGGTGTGTTGGGCTGTGGGGGACACCTCTTGGGACCAAGCCATTCAGGCTTCCTGGTTCCAGAAGGGGAAAAGCATGGCCTGGAGCTATAGAGATGGATGCTGCCTTTCCCCAACCCAGGGAGCTTGGTGTGTGAGGCAGTTATGAGTCCCAGTGCTGACTGCTGCCCCTCCCTCAAGGAGCTCAAAATGCTTAGCTAGGAGGCAGCCGCAGCTGTGGAGCTCGCCGCCCCTTCCCCCTGAGACCTTGACAGGCTTAAGCAGATTCTAGCTGAGAGGCTGTTGAGAATCTGCATGGCTCTGGGATTGGGACCCTAAGCCTCAGTGGCATGGGTTCACCAGTGAGAACTTCCAATCCGTGGGTTGCTCAGTTCTGTAGAAAAAGCACTGTTTCCCTGGCTGGGTAACATGCTCACCCATTGCCTTCCTTCGTTGTGGGGTGGAGGCTCCCCTGTCCCATGTGGCTCTCCGGTGGGCCACCACACCACGCTGCTCTTCTTTCCTCTCCGTGGATCACGCCAGCCATCTAGTTGGTTCTGATGAGAGAATATGTTTACCTTGGTTGCTAGTGCATGATTCACATGCTACTGTGGTTATTTTCAATGGCAGCCTCTGATTGCCACTGCTTCTAGTTGGCTCCACCCTCTAACCATTTTTCATGTGGCATTAAAATTCTCATTTCTAGATCAAACTTCAGATGAACTTTTTGTACAACTTACATCACTTGTCCCATTGATAGTCCATTTTGTAATGATCTAAACTCAATATCCTCCCAAAACCTTTCATCTTCTTAGTTCCTTCTTTCGATTAATGATGCCAGCCTTCCTATTGTGAGGTGTAAAACCCTAGTCATATTTAAGTCCTTGCTCTCTTGAGCTAACCACAATAATTTAATATTTAAATTATGTGATTCTAAATTCCAAAATCTTTTTTATCCTCTCTTTATTATTTATTTTTAATATTGCCCTATTTATACAAATTCTTTATCAGATTATAGGTACATCTCATAGTGCCTTGCAGCACTTTGTATAATGCCTTATATCAATTAGGCATAACACATATAGTTTGTTGAAGTAAGTTGTATACACAGGTGCCAACATTTATAATTACGGTCCTTATTTTTCAAAGAAACATAAGCTATAGTTTAGAGCTTCCCTTCCACAAAAATTACATGACACTAGAAGTAAAATCAATATTAAAGTCATATTTTAGGTACTATAAAACCCAACTCTACATGATATGTTTTCTACCACCAAAAGTTTAGAATTCGTATTAGTAATTGTATAGGTTGGAAATACCCAATTTGCAGCTTTTCTAATCTGTAAAATAACAAAATACTAACAATTCATGAAAAGCAATAAATTCAGTTTGAAAATTGAGCAAAGGAAAGGATACTAACATTGAGTGCTCGATATTGGCAGGTACTATGATAGAGAACGTACATAGGCAGTTTAGCTAAAACCTTACAATAAGCTTGTGGAGAGAGATCATTTTATGGCATTTTACATATGGGAAAAACTTTCATTTTTTATTTCTCCATGATCACAATTCTAGTAAATGGCTCCCCTGAAACTAAAATCTAACTTTTCACTTTTTAAATCACATTTGTGGGAGACACCTAATAATATGTACCAGGCTTCTGTCTTACTGTGCAATGCAGATAAAATTTAAAGAGAAAAAAATGTGTTATACTACATTTGGGAATTTTTGAATAAGAAGCAAAAGTTTATGTTAAGCTAAAACACTTTCAAATCTCTAAAAGCATCAATCATGTATTATCTAGCCTCCAAGCATTTATATAAACTGCTTTCTCTGCCTAGTAAAATAAAAACAATATAACAATAAGTGAATGACAGTAAAATAATTCATACATTCTTTAATTTAACAATCAAAAATTGAGTGCATACTCTGTGCAGTGACCATGATTCCTGGAGTTTACAATTGTTCCTGGATAAATATATTCATCAGTTGGATATTCTACTTATTAGCTGTGTAACACTGGATAATCCGCTATTTCCCTGAGCTTTAATTTTTTATATGTAAATAGGATTTTAAATTTCTTAATATATTAGACTCTTGTAAAAAATAGATGTAGAAATATTGTGATTTGTTTAACACACTTACTAGCAGTCATTTTGGATTTGACTTTCAGCCACAATTTTGGTTATTTTTGGTGTTTTGCTTCACTTTTTAAATTCTTCCTTAGAATTTAGCAATCTGATTATACATCCTTCTTCCCAAGAAACCTTCCCTGCAACCTCAGTACAAAATGAAGCATCATTTCCGTACATATACTCATATAACTATCTGTATATATCACCATATTACAAATCACATTTTTTTTGTAATTACATGTATTTTACATCCCAAATCAGACTATAAGGTTTTTATTTTTTATTTATTTATTTTTTTTGGAGACGGAGTCTTGCTCTTTTCACCCATGCTGGAGTGCAATGGCACTATCTTGGCTCACTGCAACTTCCACCTCCCGGGTTCAAGCAGTTCTCCTGCCTCAGTCTCCCAAGTAGCTGGGATTACAGGTGCCCGCCACCACACTGGGCTAATTTTTGTATTTTTAGTAGAGACAAGGTTTCACCATATTGACCAGGCTGGTCTCAAACTCCTGATCTCAGGTGATCAGCCTGCCTCGGCCTCCCAAACTGCTGGGGTTACAGGCATGAGCCACCACCCCATGCCAACTATAAGATTCTTAAGGGTAAGGTGAGATTTGTACTGCTCACCCATGAGTTCACAGCAGGTGCCACATTTCTAGACCACAATGGATTTCTAATAAGTGGTTCTCAATGAATGTGCTTGGAGTACAAAGAAATAATGGGGAGGTAGGGGTGATAAATTTCCTGGCAGTTGTTTCAGTATTGCAACCCAAATTGGATATACAATGGATGGAAGGCCATTATCAACCCAACAGCCATGTGAGTGTTTTAACTCTCTACTGCCTTTCAGTTTAATAGTGCTCCTCAGTAGGAAAGGCAAAACAGACTGCATGCACTGTCTGTCTGGAATATTGTTGAAAAGTTTCATATATTAGAAGAAATATTGGACTCAAGAACATTCCCAGGCACCAAATAGAAATTTATTACTTAGTTTGATTTTGCTTAGAAAAATGTAATATCTGGGTAAATAAAATCTGAAAATAGAGCATTTATTGTCTCATTATATATAAGAATTGAATAACCTTGATATTTAAACAGAACTTGTGAATGCAGGTAATATTAGTTACAAAATGTCATCAGTCAAATCCTCAGTCTTTCATTATGGTGGCTATGAAGATTGAAAATTTTAAATAAAGCTGGGCTGTACTGAACTTTTCACTTCCTCCAAGTGAGTAAGTTCCTTTTTTTTTTTTGGATTGTCCTCAAAGCAATTTTATTCCAGCAGTGGCTCTTTATGATAAACTGGGATAACTTCATCCTTCATTGATGGATGTGGGCTTCTCTGCTGACATGACAGATATGCTTTTTTGTAAGGTTTTCCTCAAGAAATATAGCAATTAAGCTTAGAATGTAAGAGGATAAACTATAATTTATAACCTTCTCCCTAACACAGCAATCTAGAAAGGGTGTTTCTAATTCGAGGAAACACAAACAAAACAAGGGAAAGTCAAAAGAACAACAGCAACAAAAACAACAATAGAAAGGGGTTGGTAAGGCTTTCAAAACTTGTAAACTTTTTATACACTGTACTTGACATATCTCAGTGGAATGTGCATCAGAGGGGAAAAAAAGCATGTCATTGCTCTGAAACTGTCTTTTCTAATTCAGTGCATCCATGTATTGTTATAAATCTGTTTCCCAATCATGCTTCCTCACTGAAAGATGCAGACACAAGGGAACAAGCTGCACTACTATCTATCAGCTCAGATAAAGGAAAAGTTTCTTTTAGCCTGACACTGACAGCTTAATGAAATGAAGGCCAAGATGCATGCATGCAAATAAGAGAAAGACTGGTAAGGTAGTGACCATACTTGGTATTTAAAATAGGCAAGTAGGGTAACTTGTACCTATGTTTTTTTTTCCCTTAGGCTAGGGCAGTGAGACTAAGACTGCTTTCTGTGGATAGTCTATGGACACTGCTTTCACAACTTTATAGATACAACTTTTCTTTGGCCTAATGAAACAATTGAAGCCATAGCACTTATTTAAAGGATTAAAAAAAAAGCTATAGTATTATTTTTCTATTTTGATAAATGAAGAAGATGATAAGATACCGGATCTCATTATGTAAACTTGTGTTATGCATTGTGATTTCCTGTCGTTGCTTTGAACCTTGCAGCTGGGTTATTTTAAAATCTCTAAGGACCAGTGGGATTTTTATAGAATGAACTGAAAAATGGATCCAATCCTTTACTTGAAACATAGCAAATATTTATTACCCTTTGTTTCCCATTAGTTTTTACTTTCACACGCCTACACCTTTCCTTAGCATCTGTAGGAGAAAAAGAATAGCGGGAAGAACTGGAAAGAACTTCCTGTCACACACTCCAGATTATTAACAGTAAACACAAAGTACTCAAAATCTCATGAGAAAATCTGAATGGTAAGAGAATTACAGCATTAAGTTTGGTGAAAGAGGTGATGATTATAATGCAAGTGGTTTTTTTTTTTCTTTTTCTTCTCAATCTTCGTTTGGTTAAAGGTGAAAATGTTTTGAAAAAGAATATAAAATGTAGTCTTCACTGACATTTCACCCAATCACTAATCCTTAAAAGGATTACTTGTCAATGATTTCATTCCTGATTCGAATGCATTTACACTGAATATGTGAGAACTGCGTTTCTGTATGTGCTTCAAGTTGCCAGTGTCCTCCAAAACACACAAGTCACCTTGTAAAGCTATTTCAGACAAAAGTGACATAAAGATATTGCTGTTTCTAAGATTTTCCCCCATTATATAAATGTCTATAATACCATTAGGATTACAACAGAAGAGAAACCTGATTTTCTCCAATCACTAGCTAGATTTATATCTAATGTCGCTCTATATCTTCAGAGCATTTTAGAGCTTACACCAAGAACACAGTTGAGGCCGGGAGTGGTAGCACACGCTTGTAATCCGAGATACTCAGGTGGCTGCGGCACGAGGATTGCTTGAACCTGGGAGCACCCACTGCACTCTAACCTGGGCAACAGAGTGAGACTCTGTCTAAAAATAATAATACAGCTGAAATCAGAATTAACAGAAAGATTAATGCTACAGTTTTAAAGTAGAGAAAACCATTCCTAAAATTCTGGGTTTTGTTTGTTTGTTTGTTTGTTTGAGACAGAGTCTCACTCTGTCGCCCAGGCTGGAGTGCAGTGGCGCGATCTCGGTTCACTGCAAGCTCCACCTCTCTGGTTATGTCATTCTCCCGCCTCAGCCTCCCGAGTAGCTGGGACTACAGGCGTCCACCACCACGCCTGGCTAATTTTTTGTATTTTTAGTAGAGACGGGGTTTCACCGTGTTAGCCAGGATGGTCTCGATCTCCTGACCTCCTGATCCACCTGCCTTGGCCTCCCAAAATGCTGGGATTACAGGCGTGAGCCACCGCACCCAGCCTAAAATTCTGTTATTAAATCAGTGTAAAGCAGGTGTTTCATCT
Source organism: Homo sapiens (assembly GCF_000001405.40). Taxonomy (NCBI): domain Eukaryota; kingdom Metazoa; phylum Chordata; class Mammalia; order Primates; family Hominidae; genus Homo; species Homo sapiens. The sequence continues at coordinate 137,578,481 of NC_000004.12, forward strand.
TCATATGTGAAAGATTTTTGACCTCTATTTTATCCTCCATCTTTTTTTCTTTACTCTTATACCAATAGCCACACACACACACACACACACACACACACACACACACACCTTAAAGGTAGAGGTATTAAATTAATTCACTATTTTATTTAAACTCAGGGGCAACCACTGATTCACAGTCAAACAATATTTATCAAAAGGCAAGAGTTATTGTAAAAACAAAAATCTTAAGAAACTCACTGAAGGATCTACTCTGGTTAGCTATTATAGGCTAATTGCTATAAAATTAAAAACAAAAGCAAATACTTTTTTAGTTGTTTAATGCGGTGGAACTTTATGTCTTCCATCTCAGTCTACTTGCACAATCCTCTGTGTGGTGATTGAGAGACTCAAGGTCATTCTATCTAGTGGCTCTCCCACTATAAGGTCCTCAGAGTTCTCCACCAGACCCTGTGCATCAGGACTAGAGAGAAAGGAGAGCAAGCATGGGAGGTCTCATGGAAGGTATTTTAGAGGCTGGGCCTAAACTGGATGAAATTACTTCTTTCCAAATTATTTAAACAAGCCTCAATCAATTGGCTCCATCAAACTAGTGTGTAATGTAGAATTTTTATTATTATTATTATACTTTAAGTTTTAGGGTACATGTGTACAACATGCAGGTTTGTTACATATGTATACATATGCCATGTTGGTGTGCTATACCCATTAACTCGTCATTTAACATTAGGTATATCTCCTAATGCTATCCCTCCCCCCTCCCCCCACCCCACAACAGGCCCGGTGTGTGATGTTCCCCTTCCTGTGTCCATGTGTTCTCATTGTTCAATTCCCACCTATGAGTGAGAACATGTGGTGTTTGGTTTTTTGTCCTTGAGATAGTTTGCTGAGAATGATGGTTTCTAGCTTCATCCATGTACCTACAAAGGACATGAACTCATCCTTTTTTATGGCTGCATAGTATTCCATGGTGTATATGTGCCACATTTTCTTAATCCAGTCTGTCGTTGTTGGACATTTGGGTTGGTTCCAAGTCTTTGCTATTGTGAATAGTGCCGCTATAAACATACGTGTGCATGTGTCTTTATAGCAGCATGATTTATAATCCTTTGGGTATATACCCAGTAATGGGATGGCTGGGTCAAATGGTATTTCTAGTTCTAGATCCCCGAGGAATCCCACACTGACTTCCACAATGGTTGAACTAGTTTACAGTCCCACTAACAGTGTAAAAGTGTTCCTATTTCTCCACATCCTCTCCAGCACCTGTTTCCTGACTTTTTAATGATCGCCATTCTAACTGGTGTGAGATGGTATCTCATTGTGGTTTTGATTTGCATTTCTCTGATGGCCAGTGATGATGAGCATTTTTTCATGTGTCTTTTGGCTGCATAAATATTTTCTTTTGAGAAGTGTCTGTTCATATCCTTTGCCCACTTGTTGATGGGGTTGTTTGTTTTTTTCTTGTAAATTTGTTTGAGTTCATTGTAGATTCTGGATATTAGCCCTTTGTCAGATGAGTAGGTTGCAAAAATTTTCTCCCATTCTGTAGGTTGCCTGTTCACTCTGATGGTAGTTTCTTTTGCTGTGCAGAAGCTCTTTAGTTTAATTAGATCCCATTTGTCAATTTTGGTTTTTGTTGCCATTGCTTTTGGTGTTTTAGACATGAAGTCCTTGCCCATGCCTGTGTCCTGAATGGTATTGCCTAGGTTTTCTTCTAGGGTTTTTATGGTTTTAGGTATAACATTTAAGTCTTTAATCCATCTTGAATTAATTTTTGTATAAGGTGTAAGGAAGGGATCCAGTTTCAGCTTTCTACATATGGCTAGCCAGATTTCCCAGCACCATTTATTAAATAGGGACTCCTTTCCCCGTTGCTTTTTTTTGTCAGGTTTGTCAAAGATCAGATAGTTGTTTATATGCGGCATTATTTATGAGGGCTCTATTCTGTTCCATTGGTCTATATCTCTGTTTTGGTACCAGTACCATGCTGTTTTGGTTACTGTATCCTTGTAGTATAGTTTGAAGTCAGGTAGCATGATGCCTCCAGCTTTGTTCCTTTGGCTTAGGATTGACTTGGCAATGCAGGCTCTTTTTTGGTTCCATATGAACTTTAAAGTAGTTTTTTTCCAATTCTGTGATTTTTGTTTGTTTGTTTGTTTGTTTTTTTGTTTTTGAGACAGTCTGGCTCTGTCGCCCAGGCTGGAGTGTAGTGGCACGATCTTGGCTCACTGCAACCTCCACCTCCTAGGTTCAAGTGATTTTTCCTGCCTCAGCCTCTCGAGTAACTGGGATTACAGGCCCCTGCCACCACAGTCAGCTAATTTTTGTATTTTTAGTAGAGATGGGGTTTCACCAAGTTGGCCAGGCTGGTCTCAAATTCCTGACCTCAAGTGATGCCCCAATGTTGACCTCTTAATGTGCTAGGATTACAGGCATGAGCCACTGTGCCCAGCCCAGAATAGCTGACGTCTGTAAAAACATGGCACAGTTTAGTAACAATCTTATTGCAAATGATGTTCTTTATTATTTCATCATTTCTGAGCTCTAGGAGAGTTCTCACTGAGAAATCTGATTATATTAATTTTCTTTCAAACATTGTTTCTCATCAACAGGCTATTTCGGAAAGGACAAATTTCCTTTGTCATAATGTAGGTATGTAAGTCATTATGGAAGGCACCATTAGATTTAGAACTGGATATACATTATCTTCTGTAAAGTTGTCTCACTTTCTTTGTTCATTCCACTTTACATAGATGATAAATTTATTATGTATTTGATACAGTCATATGAACTAATTGATCTTACTGTAACATAACTATGAACAGACAAATAATTATATAAATAAATAGACACATAGACAACTACATAAGTAGATGTATATATAAATAACTTTGATTGATAAAGAGACAAATATGCAGTTTTTATTGTAAACAATACAATATGATATGATTTTGTCTCTTCCATCAAATCACATTTAATAGGAAAGAAAGACTCTAAAGTGAAAAATATAATGATAAATATAAGCATAAGATGTATACAGGCCCTTGAACCCACATAAAGGTGGAAAAAGAGAGATGGAAGTTGATGGTCAATAGAAATTTCCTGAAGCTGGGGAATCTTGCAAAATTAAGTAAATAAAGGTGGGAATATTCCAGGTTGCTGGAGTGCCATACAAAGGCAGTACAATATGTCAGAATGTTCTATGTTTGGGGAACTTCAAGAACATTTTGGTATGGTGCAATATCATATTCAAGAGGAGTAGTGGCCAGATAATAATGAGTCTTATATTTAATGCAAAGCAAATGAGAATCAAATCTTTAATGCAATATTACATAACAATTGCCTAAAGATCCTGATTCAGTAGGTAAGGCTTTGGCATATTCATTTTTAGCAAATAACTCAGGTGATTTTTGAGGCTATTTGCCTCAAATTTATTAGATATTATTTATTAGATAAAACTTTTGAAACGTTGCTTCGTAATGAGAGTCTTGAAAGTGTTCACCAGGCCATACCAAGGAAAGATTTCTTTTGAAAATAATAAATTCTCTGACATTTGGTGAAGAAATGAATTGGAACAAGTTGGTAATGGGAAATAATATAAATTAGGAAGTTGTTAAATAATCTAGGTGAGAAATGATAAAAGGCTCACCTATGGCACTGCTGGAAGTAGACAAAATATATGGAAATTGTTAATAAGGAAGAATCGCCTGATCAATACCAAACCACCACTCATATATACTACAACCCTTACTAAATTTAAATTATTTCATCCTCACATATCTATGATGAACATGTGTTATCTCTTTTTACAGATATGGAAAGTTTCAAAGATAATTTAAATAACTTGCCCAGTGTTATATGACAAGGAATTGGTTGAACAGGATTCCAGCCCACACTGATTTCAAAGCCTGTTTCTTTCAATATCATGGTAGACTATCTATATCAGATAATATAAACCCCACTTTAGAGAATTTTGCCTGAGAAAGTAGGGAAAGAGACAGGCCTATTACAAGATTAAAATTTAGGGAGGTAAATTTCTGTAGTTTAAGTTTTAAGAGGGAGTAGATTTGAGACTGCTTGTTTCCTGAGGGCAATATGTTGGTGGAGCTGAAGACAAGGAAGAGTAGGAAAATTCACAGAATATGATGATGAAGAAGCTGGAAGAAATGGGATCTAAAGCACAGTTAGAGAAACAGGCTGTAAAGATGGATGCATCCTCTTGTGGGTCAGAAGAGCAAGGCAAAAGGATTGGTGTAAATAAGCAAAATGTTGAAGTTGAAGGAAGTGACAGAATCATGGAAAAGGAAACAGCCATTCTGATAGCCTTTATTCTCTGTGGCAATCTCATGGCTAAAATGAGAGATCTAAAATGAGAGCATCTAAGCTATATGGGAAGAAGTATGGCTATCATAGAGGGCTGATAGAATGGTATGAAACATGGCAATCAAGATGTGTAGCATTCATGAAGACAAAGAATAACCTTAGATGTAACTGAGCTAGAGAATGGTTAGGATGGATTACACTACATTTTTTGAAGGCAGAGGAGTTACAGCTAATGAAAAATTCCAGGATGGGTTATGGGTGTAGGTGAATAAAATTTTCCCTTGAATGCTGAATCAATAAATATTTGAAGACACAGAGAAAAGCACCAGTTAAAGGAAGACATTGAAAATATAGTGTCAAATACAGAAAACTTTTGAATAGAAACTGATCATATATAGTTTACTTTCAATGTAATAAATCATTCTAAACTTAACTTTATATCAGGAATGACAAGAAGCAGAAGTGCTGTTACTTCTCTCCCATATCAGGTATTGGTTATCAATCTTTGAGCTCATTCCTTTAAAAAAAAGAGAGACAGCCTCACATTCCTTTTTAACTTAATTCTCAAGCATATTATTTGTTACATTACCTTAAATGTATTTACCACACCTGATATATCATAAATAGCTTACATTACGTAGACAATTTTATAATAATAGTGTTTATCATTTTGACTGCATTGGCTTATTTTCTAAACACGATTATTAATATAAAACTCTTACTACTAAAATTATTTTAAGGCTATTTGAACATTATCCTAATTATAAAGGCAATTTAAAGGATACAAAAAGATACCTAATAGTTTAAATATTACATACCCTGTCAGTTTTTTTTAAGTTGACATATCTCAATATATGCTTAATTTTTCTATTGGAGTATTAATAATATGTGAATACAATGAAATCAGTAGGGGAAATGAGAAAAATCTTGAGATTACTCAATATACAAAAAATCCTGAATTTGTAAAAGTGCCTCCATTTTGTAAGTTTTCTGACATTTGGAGTCCCTCTGAACTCTTATTTCCAGCTGTGGAAATGGAGCAATTTGTTCTGTAAACACTTGTGAAGACATATTGTGCTCTCTGATCTCTATTAAGTTTTCATTTGCTAAACTTGAGTCAACTCAGGCAGAAGAAATATATTTTGAGAGCAAGCAAGAAAAAAGCAGTTTTAATTTTTTTCCCATTTTCAACAGATTCTTGGGTTCTCAACTTTGTCTTTTCTGTACAGAAAACTTAATTAATTCTAGAGAAAGATAAATCCTAAGACTACGAGAGAAAGAACAGCTTTCAATTTCTAATAAATCACTAAAATGCTCTTTTATGGCATGTGTTAGTAGACTCTTCCCCATCTTTGTGAGCTTGCTTATTTTCTCCCCTTCTAGAAATTTGTAAGTTAATACATACACTTTGATATGAGAGAAACAGATGATATAATCTTTTAATATTCCATCTATGCATAAGACATATTTGAAAATATCAAATAAATCTAGGTCAAGAAGAAGAGGGATATCTCAATATAAATATTAAAAGCCCCATGTTTTAACAATGACTTAATCATTTTAAAAATTGTCAATACTCAACTTTGGAAAAGATAGAACAGATAAAAACTAAAGAAAAAAACAGAAATTATTATTGTAAGGAAATGGTGGGTGGGAATTATTAAATCTGAATGAACAAACAATAAGAGTTTGTATTAGTTTGTTTTCTTTTACATAAAATAATCCCATATAAATTAGTTCCTTTAGCCTTTTCCTTTGACCTTAAGCTGTTCAAGCCTAAAGGAATTCACAAAATTCCTCTTTGTCATTGAACTCTATGTGAACATAGATGTTTTGTAGTTCACACAGATCATAGACTTTTGATCTAAATATGTAAAAACAGGGGAGAGAAAGTCAGGAATTTCTAATAGAAATGTAAGATAACATTCTCAGAAATAAGAGCTCATTTGGGTATACTTTTAAATGGTGTGATTTTTTTAAAAAGTGCTTTAGCTTATAAAACAGTGGTTTAGAGGATTCCTTGTGTGATATTTCTGCCACTTCCCCCATTAATAATGACTTTCATTACTTCACTCCCATTACCATATTAAATCTTACAAGGTTTTTCTTTTTCTTTTTTTTTCCAAAATGGGGTCATATATGTAATAAAGCTGCTCATCAGACTAACTGATCACCAATTCTACCTGTGCAGAGTGACAGTGGCACTTTGTGATAGAATTAGACTGTCTACTCAGTTTATAGTCATTTGTCATCAGAGCTTATTTCTCTGCCATTTGGTGAAGAGACCAGTTCAAACATGGTCGTTGATCTGCACTTGCCTCTGCACCACTGTGTAGACCAAGTATTCACTGGTCTGTGGTAAAACTGGAAAACTAAGGACAGTATGGAGAATTTTCAATTAAGTTAAATGTGTTCACTTTTAAAATTTCAATATATATAAATTCTTACTTTTGATTCAAAACGTCCCCTCTTATAGATTGAGAGTATGCTAAGATTACAGCTGAGTTTTGCTCTTTTGACAACCCCCATCCTCCCACAAGCATATATGCACACACTCACATAACCAAGCAACACAGCACAATGATGGCTCACTAGCCAGGCTTGCCAAACGTTAAAGTAATTTTAACACGTTTTTTATTAAGAAGGTCAACCAAGCCCACGATTCACCTAAAACGATTAATCTCTGTCTCATTATAGTTCTTATTAAACAACTCTGTTATGAGCTCATTTAGAAGTAGGTGTCATCAAATAGCAGTTTATCAACAGCTCATGAACATTGAAAAATGTGAAAATTCAGTTTGAAATATCCAATAACTTTGATTATATCCAGGATGGTAACTATACAAGAAAACAAGGATCTTGAGAAGGTCCTTCACATGATAATATAATAATGGTTCACTTTTGCCTCATGAGCATACACATAATTAAGGTATAATCAAAATAAAAAATTCTCAACACACTAATGATTGAAGCATCTCATTTATGTTAAATTCAAGTATAGTTTAAGCAAATTTGAGATTTGTGTATTATTCTAACCTTAATTTTTTTTTACTATGTCTTATTTTATATTTAAGTTTATGCATTTCTTAGATGAGTTTTGTTGGTTTGAGACGTGTTCTGAGTCATCTGTTACCTCTTAACTTCGCTCAGGTCTTTTACTCTCTCTCAGTAGTAAATAATACACGTTTTAGTTGAATTCTGTCTGTAGCATCCACTGTAACTTGCAGGAGTAGGGAATCTCATTAAGCATCTTACTGATAAAACAAATATTCATCACAGTTCTTTACATTGTTCTCACGGGAAATCACATATAAGCAGATATTTGTTACAAAGTGGTGCAGTCACTCACACTGCCTTACTTTCTCTGTGTAACTGCTTGATACCATATTGCCAAAGTGTTATTTATTGAAGAGCATCGGCTATTTAAAAAATTTATATGAGATCAACTTGAATTATATAGGCTATCAAATGTAGATAAGAGATTAGTGGTGGTTTGAATACATACATACATAAATATAGGAGATTGGGGGCTCACGATGTGATTGGAAATGAGCTGAGCGGCAGAAAAATATCTTATTTAGCATCTGTGTGAGGTGGCTGAGGATAGGAATGTGGACAATAGAGAATAGTTGGTTTCTTGTAAACTTGTGTTTTCCTATTCTTACTCAAATTGAAGGCTTCTTTGTGTATTTGAGGGAAACTAAAGGAAGTTATAGGGGGCTGACATACTTGAAGTTATTATTAATATATTCTCATTAATTAGAGTATCACTGAACATTTTTGTTCTCATATAATGACCGTGTTGTTAGCTTATTTATCTCTTGTTGTAATGTCTGTTTCATACAGAAGGAGAAACAAGTTTACTTTAAATGATAATCTTTGTTCCATCAAAGCACAATGATTTACTTCGGCACATTTACATCACACTATACTTAAAAGCTTTATCCTTTAGTTAAATGAGACTTTGAAGCCTAAATTTGCTTTCTGAAATGATATGTTTGAATTTCCAATCATGTATTTTCTTCCCATATACTCTTCAGATAAAGGAAAAGCTTCCATTTTCACTATCTTAAAAGAAACATTTTTTCTTGGATAACAGCTGTAATTCATGCATTCATGTCTAAACACCAGCTAATTAATTCAGAATCAGTATTATATGTAATACTGAAATTAGAATCTGAGCTAAAATTAACTTTGGCATGGTTAACTCTTTCTTCATAAAAATTTTTGCAGAAATCCAGGCGCAGAAGAACCTGGGATTTTCAAGTAATTCTCACATACCCACAAAAATACTTTAAAGAGAGATGTGTTGAGGATTGGCAAGCCAGTTAAGTTTATCATATCTTTCATGCCTAGTTCCTCAGTCAAAGGCAAAAATACAGTCCCTTACTGTCAAATTTTGTCTCCAAAACTCCCTTACCCACCATGATCTGTGCTTCCCAGGAAGCTCGGTTTCCTAGAGTACAAACTAAATCAATTTCAGTCTTTGCCCCAGTAGAAACCTGTCCATATTCCTGAGGGATAGTGGGTCCCTGTCAGCTAGTTATTATTCTGTACCCTCATATTTTCAGGCTACAAGACAGCATTTATAGTCACCTCCCTTAATCCAAGTATTTTCCTTGACTTCTTATTTTCCTCTCTCATTCAAAACTAACAAAACAGAAATACAAACAACAAAACTCCTTTGACATAAAATTCTGTGTAGAACCTAATCTGTCATCACTTTAAAAATGTCAAATGTGTTCATGGGTTTAAAAAAATCACTTGCTACTAAAAGCCTATAATGAAAGAAAATATACCAATCCCACCCATCAGTTCATTCCCCATAGCCTAACATATTTTAGTTTTAATTTCTCTTAATTAACCACCCTTTTGCAGTATATACATACTACTTACTCCTTCTTGTTTTGACATTGCATCAAATAAATATAAAACTATTCCAAAATTTAGTGATTTAGTTGTGTAAAATCTTTTTAATAAGTTGTTAACAATTCTTCTCCAGGCTGTGGGTTGGCTGAGCTGACCACTGGTTGGGATGGACTTGACTGATCTTGGCTGGACTCACTCATATATTTATGTTTAGCTGGTAGGTCAGCTTGGGGCATGGTGGTCTGGTGTGGCCTCTGCTAGGTGTCTCAGCTACCCTTCACACATCTCTTACATACTGAAATCTCTCGTAGCAGCCAATTCCTATTCTCATGACACACTCTAATGGCATTTTACAGAAGCAAGAGGATGGGAAAATGTGCAAGCAGTCTTTCAAAGCCCTGCTTGCATCACAGTTACTGTTATCCCATTGTTCAAAGAAAGTCACATAGCCAAGTGCAAACTAGGTTTGGGTATGGATACAGGGAAGCATTGATTTGGCCCACAGATGAAATCAAGCTGGCTTCCAGTATTAGAATATGAAACACATTTTCTCAGTTAGATTCCTAATCAGAGATTTAATTTTCTGAGTTACTGCGTATATGAAAATCTATTCCACTCTCACATAGTTTGAAAGTTGTGCTGACTATGTTGGAATTCAGGTTCCTAGATTGGAAGTTGTATAATATTTAGTCAGGATAATGTAAAGTTACTCTTTCATTGTCCTTTAGGGCCCAGTATTGTTATTGAGAAGCCCAATGCCATTTTTTTCCTAATGCTTGTATTTGTGCCCTGTTTTAATCTCTTCAGATTTTAGAGTATTTGTTTATCAGTTATGTACTTATCAGTCTTTTCTCTTTTTCCCTTTATCTTAGAAAATGTGTAATGCTGTGCCCTCGTGTTAATAATTTCATACTTGTCTGATACCCCATGGATTATTTTATTATGGAAACTCATATTCTTCAATTCTGGAAAATTTTCCCATGTTGTGTCTGATAAATTTTCTCCTTCTATTTACTCTTGTGTCCCTTCCTGGAAGTCCCAAGTACTTAAATTTAGACCTTCTGAATTAATCACTTAAGTCTGTTATCTTATTTTGGACATCTGTAATCTGTCTGGCAATTCCTATGAATTTGTACATCTCTGGACTTCCAAGGCATCTTTTTTCAATCAGGCCTGCTTCTCAACATTACTTTCTTGCACACCCAAATGTTTCTAAATTCTAAGTCTTCCTATTTTAGTGTTTTCAGGAATTAAATTCCAATATTCTTGCTTTACACTAGAGATTTGGGGGCATATATTATGTGCATGATTTATGAAAGAAATTTTCTCTTTTTTATGTCAACTTCTAAATACAGGCATGTGCTGCAGAATGATGGTGGTCAATGACATACCACATATAAGTCAGTGGTACTATAAGATTATAATACCATATTGTTACTGTACCTTTTCTATCTTTCAGTATGTTTAGATACACAAATGCTTATCACTATGTTACAATTGCCTACAGTATTGAGTACAATAATGTGTTGTACAGGTTTGTAGCCTAGGAAGAATAAGTTATACCATATAGCCTAAGTGTGTAGCAGGCTATCATCTGTTTTTCTAAGTATACGCTTTGACGCTTGCACAATGACGAAATGGCCTAACAATACATTTCTTAGAGAGTATTCTCACTGGGAAAGTGATGCATGACTGTATTGTGCCATTATTCCTTCATTCACATTTTTGGGTATAAAGCAGCCTTTCAAAATGTTATCTTCTGTTGTCCTTTTTCCCAGTATTTGACCTGATTGATAGGTTTATATTTTTCAAAAATTCCTTTATGATCATTTTAGTGGTGTCTAGAAAAGTAGTGAAATGAATGTGGCAAGTTTAGCATCTTGAAAAATAAGCCCATTAATATCTAGTTTATAATAATCACATTATTGCTCTCTTACCATAAATCCAACTTCCAGCTGGGCAACGCTATGTTAATCTTCTATTTCTGCTTGTAATCAATAGACCCCCAACTTAATTTACCATTTTTCCTATAAAATCTGTAAAATCTCAAGGCATATTCCGATACTAGGGAAGAAAAATATTTTATGTAGCACCTGGAATGACAACCACAAAAACGGGACAGATACTGACAGACACTTAGACTAACTCCAGAGAAGTAAACTGTTAGTTTGGTGCAAAAGTAATTGCAGTTTTTGCCATGAAAAGAAATCATTGTTGCCATTAAAAGTAATGCCACTAAAAATAATAGCTAAACATGTTTGACACTTATAATTCATCTCTCTTTTAACAAGTCCTAAAACACCTATATATCACTCATCAGACTGGACACTTACTAAAATGGTAGGCAAATCTCAGAGACTGGGATTAGAAAAAGTTAATCGTATTCAAAATAGGAAAAAAACTAATTCTGAGAAAAAAAGTAAGAATAAAAAATACATATAATGGCATTAAGGTCCTGAGGTTGAATTCAGGACTGTACTATTATATTAAAATTTTGATAATAAGTCAAGATTCTAGATAGAGTAAGTTAAGGGAAAAAGATAGAAGACCTAGCAGACATAGTAATGACTCTAGTAATTTTTAAAATAAACATTTGAGAGTGATGTTTCATATGCTTGGAGTAACTGGCATCAAATTAAGTTCAAGGAGCAAAATGGGAGTGTGCCATCTATGCAAAAGACTATAGTTCCTGAGTCTGTGAGGGGGAGTTCATGCTTTTATTTAAGAGATTAGTGGAAATGGGACACTGGAGCTACTTGCAAACACATCCCGGTAAAGATTGAGCCAGGAATACTTTAGTACAATCTTATTGGGAACTCAAAGACATTCATAGCTTCAGCATTTGGTGGAAGAAAAGAACACGATAACTAACAATAGCATCCAAAATTGTTTTTTCTTATGTCCCATGCATCCTCAGTTGCCCATCGGGGTCCTTAAGCTATGAAATTTTAGAGTCACTTTTAAACCTGTTCTTTTGTTCTTTCTTAATTTAAAATCAACTGATAAATCAATTACTCTATTGCTATATTTCTTGCTCCTTTTCTTATTGAAGCTGTCATTATCTCTTATTTAGATCAATATAATTGTCTCTTTAGTACATTCTCTTTTCATGGTGTCTCATTCAATCCACCTATGTGACCCCAGATTTGTATTTTTAAATCATAATCTGACCACTAACATTCTTGTTTTAAAGTCTTTCAATCCACATTACATATAGAAACTCATATTATGATTGAATGTTATTTAAGCTTTTCCTCATAATCTGATCTAAATTTGTGTTAATCACATACTATTTTCTAGGCACACAAGATTTCTCATCATTCTTAAATATGCACTGTATGTTGTATCATAAGTTTCGTCTCCATGTTCACACCATTGTCTTTGAATGGAATATCTCTTCCATTCTGCTAGTGAGAGTCTTATCCATTCACACAACTCCAGCCTTTTCTGATGTCCCAGGTCATAATTAGTTTTTTCCTTCTCCCTGTTTATAAAGCACTTGTCTTGTTCCTCTACATTAGATTTCATTACAGTACAACATGCAATGCAATGTATTGAGGCACCTCTGTATGTTCTTGTGAGTTTCTTAGGAACAAAGGCAGTATCTTCCTCATCTTTACATCCACTTTATTTTCTAGTTGAACGTCTTGCTCGTGATAGATGTTAGTCCATTGAAATCCAATGATCTTCCTCTTCTTCATGCTGTTCTACAATGCTTAACTACTTTCATATTCTTTGTGCAATCCACTTCCTGTAAGAGTTATTTCCTCTACCTGAAAGTTTATGATGTACTTTGGATACCTTAATATGTATGAAATTAGCTAGTTTCCTTATGTGTTTTTATTGTATTCTGTTCTCCTATACATTGGTAGTTTGTTATAAATTTGAAAAAATAAACTGGATTTAGGCATGTACATAAACACTTAGACAGCATATGTAACTGGAAAATTATGTTAGCTTCATGCAAGGAGGGAGGACATCACAATGCTAAGAATAGTCAAATGTGAGTTAGTGCTATTGATAGAAATATATAGCTCTCTTTTATGAAGATAATAAATTGTGAATTAAACTAATTTATTTATGTTCTAGACTCAGTTCATTGTCGGTGTACAGACAGAGCTTTACTTTCAAAGAATAGCTACACACAGAAACAATTCTAGGATCCAATACTTTTTGAACACCCTGTAGTTGGGCATTATAATAGTATTATTAGATAATTTTAGAGTGCCAATTATAGTCTTATAAATACAATCTGTGAAACTGGAAAGTTCTCAAGGAAGTAAGTTTGAAGATGGTGATCTTTAAGAGCATGGATCATAAATTAAAATAATCAAATAAAGCAGTTGTTGTAGAAAGAAACAAAATAAAGGCTAGGGAAGTTTATAGAAACAATAATCTTAAAAATAAAGATATCCAAAATGTTATTATCAAAAGAAATCCATGTGAAATGCTTAATTTCTGAAAACAAATAAAAATCCAAAAAAGAGGAAGTCAAGCTTTCATGGAAAACTTCAAACAAATGACAAAACAGGATTATTTAAAACACAGTTAAACACTCCTTGGAATAGAGAATGAAGAAGAACTAACATTAGCAAGGTAGAAAAGAAATGACATTTTAGTCTGCAAGATGGACCCTTAATTCACAGAAATTATCCTTTATTATTTTCAAAAGTTGTTCTAAAACTTGGTGATACTCTAATTCAAGACATGGGTAGGAAAAGGGGAGATTTATGTGCCTTTTACTGAACCACTTTTACTCATGCTCAGCCTCAACATTATTATTTTCTTTCAACTGCATGACTATACCTTGGGAGGAATAAATAATTTGAAAATATATGAGTTAACAAAGAAAGAAATGCAGAGTTGCAGACTGATAATGGAAATTACAGGGGTTATAAAATATCATATATTGCGTTGCCATTAAGATGAAAGGAATACAGGAAGTTATAAATAACCCACACCATTTTTTAAAAGACTGCTTTTTAAATATTCTTTGTGGAAGCATAACTGATAAAAGTCTAGTCATTTTTCATGTGAAGTCATTTTTCTCAATAAGCAATTTGCTAAAGTGAAAAAACAGGATTAGACAATGGTTGCATTGTTTCATTCAGTACTTCTGAATGAAATGTCATATCCTGCGTACAGTCTCATACATGAGTGAAATGTTGAATGGCTTTGTAATATATAGGTGTTATGCAAAAGAAATGTGAAACAGTCTATAAAAATAATGCTTTTATCATGGAACAATAAAGAAATCACAAAGAAAAGAACCATTTATGGTATTACCAACTTATTGAATTCTTTACAATTTATAAAGTGTTTTCAGGTACATAATTCAATTAAGTTTTCCTAAGAACTCTGTAATCTAGCCATTTAATACTATTTTTCTTACACAGACACCGAATAACATTAAATGACTTGCTTAAAGTCTCATAGGTAAATCTTTTGATTTTTAAGTCAAAGCGGTAGAGAAGTTGTAAGTCTAAGAAAAGGTGAAAAAAGATATGGGAGAGAATGGCATCTGCTATTTTCAAGAATACCTCAGGCCTTACACTTATTAAGTGACTTTACTTGCTGTATTTACTATGAGATAGGAAGAACCAAAATGTCAGGGAACAGAAAAGAATGACTCTATTGAAACAGCCTCAAATTATTCCTCAGTTCTGCACAAACAGTTTGATATTATTCTGAACTATATAACATTCTGCAAAGGAAAAGGGACCAATTTACCCATATTTCATGTTGAGCCAGTAAGAAAGCCCAGACCACTTGGATCTTCTAACTTCCATTGAAAACTGCAGGTCAGGTAGAGCAAGGTTGCATTAGATGATTTGGAAAAGAAAGGGGATAGGTAAGAGGAATTTACTTATTGGATCCAAACTAATTAAATCATGCAACAAATGCCTTACGCATGTCACCTTGGTAAGAGAAAGGGAAAGTCTCAGAGAATATACATAGTCTACTTTAATGACAAAGATTTGTTTCTGGCAGGATCTTAAAATATTAGATCTCAACATCAACAATGATGTGTATAATTTTTACACTATATTCATAGTGGCTTTCAAAGAGGCTAGAAATTAATAAAATTCGGTTTAAAGTAAAAGAGTTGTGAACTAGTGCACTGTAAAATTGTTTGGTTATATTAGCACACAGAAATGTTCTCTGATCCACTAATTATCCCATGTATTTTCTTATTTCTGGAAAATACCTGTCAAAACGCTTTCTCTGATGATAACGATGACTACAGTTGTATGTATTCTAAATATATAAATGAAGTAAACATCTCAAAAAATGTGTATGCTTCACAATTGATTTTCTGTATTCATCTCTTAAACTTAATTTTCTGTAGTTAGTTGCTACTTGCAACTTTTACTCTGAAAATAAAATTCACTAAATATAATATCTTTTGAGTGTGTTTTACATTAAAATAATTTTATTTACATTGTCAGTTTTTTTTAATTTAAAAATACTTTATTGCTAAAAGATGCTAACGATCAAGTGAAACTTCAGTGAGTTTCAATCTTTTAGCTGGTGGAGGGTTTTGCCTGGATGTTGATGGCTGCTGGCAATTTCTTTTTGTTTTTTTTTTAATTTTATTATTATTATACTTTAAGTTTTAGGGTACATGTGCACAACGTGCAGGTTTGTTACATATGTATACATGTGCCATGTTGGTGTGCTGCACCCATTAACTCGTCATTTAGCATTAGGTATATCTCCTAATGCTATCCCTCCCCAATTCCCCCACCCCACAACAGTCCCCGGTGTGTGATGTTTCCCTTCCTGTGTCCGTGTGTTCTCATTGTTCAATTCTCACCTATGAGGGAGAACAGGCGGTGTTTGGTTTTTGTCCTTGTGATAGTTTGCTGAGAATGATGGTTTCCAGTTTCATCCATGTACCTACAAAGGACATGAACTCATAATGTTTTATGGCTGCATAGTATTCCATGGTGTATATGTGCCACATTTTCTTAAACCAGACTATCGTTGTTGGACATTTAGGTTGGTTCCAAGTCTTTGCTATTGTGAATAGTGCCGCTATAAACATACGTGTGCATGTGTCTTTATAGCAGCATGATTTATAATCCTTTGGGTATATACCCAGTAATGGGATGGCTGGGTCAAATGGTATTTCTAGTTCTAGATCCCCGAGGAATCCCACACTGACTTCCACAATGGTTGAACTAGTTTACAGTCCCACCAACAGTGTAAAAGTGTTTCTATTTCTCCACATCCTCTCCAGCACCTGTTGTTTCCTGACTTTTTAATGATCGCCATTCTAACTGGTGTGAGATCGTATCTCATTGTGGTTTTGATTTGCATTTCTCTGATGGCCAGTGATGATGAGCATTTTTTCATGTGTCTTTTGGCTGCATAAATGTCTTGTTTTGAGAAGTGTCTGTTCATGTCCTTCGCCCACTTGTTGATGGGGTTGTTTGTTTTTTTCTTGTAAATTTGTTTGAGTTCATTGTAGAGTCTGGATATTAGCCCTTTGTCAGATGAGTAGGTTGCAAAAATTTTCTCCCATTCTGTAGGTTGCCTGTTCACTCTGATGGTAGTTTCTTTTGCTGTGCAGAAGCTCTTTAGTTTAATTAGATCCCATTTGTCAATTTTGTCTTTTGTTGCCATTGCTTTTGGTGTTTTAGACATGAAGTCCTTGCTCATGCCTATGCCCTGAATGGTATTGCCTAGGTTTTCTTCTAGGGTTTTTGTGGTTTTAGGTCTAACATTTAAGTCTTTAATCCATCTTGAATTAATTTTTGTATAAGGTGTAAGGAAGGGATCCAGCTTCAGCTTTGTACATATGGCTAGCCAGTTTTCCCAGCACCATTTATTAAATAGGGAATCCTTTCCCTGTTGCTTGTTTTTGTCAGGTTTGTCAAAGATCAGATAGTTGTATATATGTGGCTTTAATTCTGAGGGCTCTATTCCGTTCCATTGGTCTATATCTCTGTTTTGGTACCAGTACCATGCTGTTTTGGTTACTGTATCCTTGTAGTATAGTTTGAAGTCAGGTAGTGTGATGCCTCCAGCTTTGTTCTTTTGGCTTAGGACTGACTTGGCGTTGTGGGCTCTTTTTTGGTTCCATATGAATTTTAAAGCAGTTTTTTCCAATTCTGTGAGGAAAGTCATTGGTAGCTTGATGGGGTTGGCATTGAATCTATAAATTACCTTGGGCAGTATGGCCATTTTCACGATATTGATTCTTCCTACCCATGCGCATGGAATGTTCTTCCATTTGTCTGAATAGACCAATAACAGGCTCTGAAATTGAGGCAATAATCAATAGCTTACCAACCAAAAAAAGTCCAGGACCAGATGGATTCACAGCCGAATTCTACCGGAGGTACAAAGAGGAGCTGGTACCATTCCTTCTGAAACTATTCCAATCAATAGAAAAAGAGGGAATCCTCCCTAACTCATTTTATGAGGCCAGCATCATCCTGATACCAAAGCCTGGCAGAGACACAACCAAAAAAGAGAATTTTAGACCAATATCCTTGATGAACATCGATGCAAAAATCCTCAATAAAATACTGGCAAACCAAATCCAGCAGCACATCAGAAGCTTATCCACCATGATCAAGTGGGCTTCAACCCTGGGATGCAAGGCTGGTTCAACATACGCAAATCAATAAATGTAATCCAGCATATAAACAGAACCAAAGACAAAAACCACATGATTATCTCAATAGATGCAGAAATGGCCTTTGACAAAATTCAACAACCCTTCGTGCTAAAAACTCTCAATAAATTAGATATTGATGGGACATATCTCAAAATAATAAGAGCTATCTATGACAAACCCACAGCCAATATCATACTGAATGGGCAAAAACTGGAAGCATTCCCTTTGAAAATGGGCACAAGACAGGGATGCCCTCTCTCACCACTCCTATTCAACATAGTGTTGGAAGTTCTGGCCAGGGCAATCAGGCAGGAGAAGGAAATAAAGGGTATTCAATTAGGAAAAGAGGAAGTCAAATTGTCCCTGTTTGCAGATGACATGATTGTATATCTGGAAAACCCCATTATCTCAGCCCAAAATCTCCTCAAGCTGATAAGCAACTTCAGCAAAGTCTCAGGATACAAAATCAATGTACAAAAATCACAAGCATTCTTATACACCAATAACAGACAAACGGAGAGCCAAATCATGAGTGAACTCCCATTCACAATTGCTTCAAAGAGAATAAAATACCTAGGAATCCAACTTACAAGGGATGTGAAGGACCTCTTCAAGGAGAACTGCAAACCACGTCTCAATGAAATAAGTCAGTTTTTAAAAATGTTTTTGTGGCATTGGTTCTAGTTGTCTCTGTCTGGAAAAAATTGATTTTTCAAATCAATTTGAAAAGTTGGCCGAGCAATATATAGTCACTTAAGCAAGCCTGTATGTATGTGGACAAGTAGACATTAACGATTACTCTCATTTTTGTTATCAATGTGTCTAAAACTATAAATTTTTTAAAGAAGATCACCCACTCGTTAATCTTTTTTCTAAGCCATAATAAATATCAATTTATATTATTTTACACAGTAACTATTTTATTACATTAATATATCTATTTCCTCTATTGAAGTATTCTTGTTTTCTTTCCATGTTTTTAAAACTATAAACATTGTAAATAATATTGTAAAGCTGGTCATTTTTAACAGTAAATTTTAACAATAGAATGCATAGGTAAATCAGTATGGACATGTTTGGATTATTAAACAATTTAGCCAAATTGCCCCTTGGAAAGTTTATTTTAATTGTATATTTCTACCAAAAAAAATGAGAGTGCCTTGTATCTTCTTCGCTATTAGTTCTTAGTCTCTTAAATTTTTGTCATTTGTAGTGATCAATAATGCTTTCGTACAGTGTTTTAATGTTTAACTTTAGACCATACAGTGGAAAATGTATTCATATCTCTTTGCCCATTTATATGTCAAATTTTATGAAGCATCTGTCCATCTCTTGAAATTATTTTCATTTTAACTGACTTATCAAGTGTTTTATATATTAAAAGTGTTCAAGTTTCTTTTTCTTATTTGCTACAAATCACATTTCCAATGTTTCACTTGTTTTTCAATCTTGATTATAGTATTTTTTAGCCATTCATATTTATTTCTGTATGCTCAAAATCATTTTTCTCATTTCAATTTTTAAGATTGAAATACTTTTGGAAATGCATTCAGTGCAATCTAATTGTTGGTTTTCATATTATTTTGCAGGCTAGTGGGGAATACTGCAGAAGCATCAGGAATATCAGCTGTTGACAGCTGCTCTATTAATTTGACTATCCCCAGAGTGCTCCATAGCCTGAAGTTATTTCTATTGATGGAGCCAAGTACTCAATCCATTTGTTTTCACTCTATTAACACATTTATTTTCTACAATAATTCCATGATATAGGTTACTATTATCATTCCTGTCTTACATATGAGGAATCTAGAGCACAAGAGGTTAAGATGTTGTTCTAAGTCTATGCCAACTTAGAAATAAGTTTATGCAAACTTAGGTAGAAATTGGGAGAGCTGAGCTTTAAACCCAATCTGTCTTATTTCAGAGTTCACACACTTAACCCTTCACTATTACTGCCTCTACAGAAGTTTTGGCACTCTTTTTAATGAGCTTCCTGGTAGGTCCCTTGAGTGATTGTGTGGCCAAGATGCATTTCTTTTGGAAGCTCGAACTGTTTATTTTAAGCTTCACTTACATGAACCTCATTTATGACCTTTTCCTGAAGAGAATGATCGCATTTTAAAGCTGCGCTAATTTCCATGTCTAGCTTCTGTTACAGGCTCACTTTAAACTTTTTGTCTTTCTTTGGACTACTAGAAATTATCAGAAGGAAATTTTCTTTTAACTCCTTTGTCTGGGTACTCTTAAATGCTGACTTTAAATAGAATGACATTATTTGATACAAGTGAATTATGTATATAGAAATGTAGCTTTCTCTCTAAAGCTTTAAGTTTATTGTACATTTTATTATGCCATTCCATGAAATATGATTGATTAATTAATAATTATGAACAAGTCCTGGGTATACTTAGCAGTACTTTACTTCTTTCAAATATGGCATTTTTACAGACTTCAAAGACTTCTTTGTATTGCATAGAGATCACGTCACACAGTGTTATGGCTGATATTCATTGATCTTCACAGTGTTATGGCTGATATTGATTGATTCATCGTCTTCATCACTGGTGACTTTAGAATATTCTTATTCAACAGCTCAATTTTTCTAAAGAACATTATTTAGAAAATTTATTTAATTAAACTATATACATGGATGAGATAATATGATGATAAAAGAGCTCTGAATATAAAGTTAGAAGGCTTAGGTAACATTTTATTTTTTTACTTCATAATGTTGTGATTTCAAATATTAGGCTTTCAAATCTTGGTTTCCTCAACTTTAAAATGTAAATAATAGGATATGCCATTTACACATGGCACAAATATTGAAATAATTAGAATAGACATCAAGTAACGGTGGGTAAATGCATTTTGTTATAAAGCACCCTATATAAATATGAGATTCTATATGTTATTTAATATAAAATCATCAATAAAAATTATAGCAATACCAGAAAATGTATATTGACAATGACAAAACACTTAGCCGCTATAAGTATAATTATTTTTATTTTAATAAAAAATAAGAATCCAATATTGTTGTGGTCATAATTCTATATAGCCATTTTTTGGGGTGTAGATTATTAAACATAGAATCAATGTCATTTTATGAGTAAATGTTTTCCATTACACCACAAACATTCTTAAATATGTTTTCGCATTGAAATTTCTTGTTAAAATCTGGTAAGTTAAAGTTGCGTGCATATGTGTATCCATGTGTGCATATATTCATGTTTGTTTTATATGAGTCAACAAAGGTTTAAGTTGTAATTTATATTTGTGTTAAATAATTTGTCCATTTGTTTCTTCTTATTTTATGTTTTTGATATGTTTCCCTAGTTTTGGAGGAAAAATATATTCTGAGTGAATTCAGTGATTTGGAATTAAGATTTATTTACAGAAATCATTTTGTTTCATAAGAAGTGTTACTAAAAGTGATTGCTAATCATTCTCAGAGACAAACAATATGTGTATTTTTAATACTAGGAAAGGGTTGCTCTGAATACACCACCTGGGGAATATCATCTGAGGGTGACTTTGGTTATGGTGCTTTTTAAGGCTGCCTTAATTGCTTTTGCATGCAGCTATATTCATGAATGTGCATTCATCAAAGAATGAAGAGCAATGTGACATTTTCAAGTTTTACTAAGTCAACTAGCATCCGTTGCCATAGTACTCAGAAATAAGGAAGCCAGGAAAAGGCAGAGCTGTTTTTCATTATGCATTGAAAGATGTCAGCAGGATTAAAGTATAAAAGCAAAAAGCAAAAAAAAAAGCTAAGAGAAGGTGAACTACTTACCAAATGGTCACTAATGAATATAAAAAGCAAATACACCAGCCAGTACTTTTGGAGAAGGATGAGACTGAAAAAAGATGTAATTAAAGGGAAGGGTAACTTTATTATTTCTGAAAATATAAAAAAATGCCTGACTCTCTCTTTTCTCAGGTAAGAAAAAATGTTATACATTTTTATATGTATGTTATATACATACATATAATATCTCCTAATTTGGGAAAACACTGTCCTCTGCTAGGGAATAGTTTGAGCTGGTTTTACTCCTTGAATGAAATAAAGATGCATAAAAATAATTTTGTGCCCTTCAAATAACCTTTGAGTAAAATTAATATTCAAGGATATACTTGATAACTAGGGCTAGAACTTTGTAAATAAGTATAACCTTTAAAAATAAACATCAAACCTTATTTAAATATGGTGGCTTCATAACTAGACCCCCAACTCTGTAATTTCTAAATGTCGATGAATTTTGACAATGATACAATGTTTATGGTGTAATATAAACAGGCCACACATTCATTGCCATCATTATTCCAATATCTCTCTTCCAAGATCATCATTTCTGAAATTTCCTCTCTGATCTTAACTTACTAATCTGAGTTATCTTATTCTCTCATAAGCTGGATTTTGTCCTCAACCTTCAAGCCAGAGATTTGATCTTCCACTCTTCTGATTGATCAGAATTTCCATGGTCTTGATTGTCTGTCCTAACTTCCCACTTAATCTCTCAATTTTTTCCCTCATCTTCTGACTATTGCAGGAGAAAGCTATACAAAAAAAAAATTGATTGGTTACATTACAAACACAATCTATCAAATTTCATTTTGACCTGCCTTACTGCTAAATAAACTTTCTATTTTTCCCTTATTGAGCCAAAATTCTATTTGGGATTTCCAAATTTCAGTATTTTCTCTTTCAGACTTCTTCCACATTTCTTTAACTCTAGCCTGAGCTTCCATACATATTGTGAAATTATTCTATCTCCCTACTCTATATGGACTATTAATGTTAAATGAAATGGTGTACATTAGCTTCTCTGTTTCACTCCAAAATGTACCTTGTTTGTCACTCATTTCTTTTCATTTTCCATCTCTCTGAATGCATGCCAGACCCTCCACCAAGGCTCTTAATTTTATCTTCTTTCTCTTCCAGATTGAAACTAAAAATCCTGATGAGTTCAATAGTACCCTAGTTAAGCAGTAATGCAAGCTGAAGAAAATTCTTCCACTGTTAGGCTGGGCACGGTGGCTCACACCTATAATCCCAGCACTTTGGGAGGCCAAGGCGGGTGGATCACCTGAGGTTAGGAGTTCGAGACCAGCTTGGCCAACGTGGTGGAACCCCGTCTCTGCTGAAAATACAAAAATTAGCCAGGCATGATGGCAGGTGCCTGTAATCCCAGCCACTTGGGGGGCTGAGGTGGGAGAATCGCTTGAACCCGGGAGGCGGAGATTGCAGTGAGCAGAGATCGCGCCATTGCACACCAGCCTGGGAGACAGAGCGAAACTCCATCTCAAAACAACAACAACAACAACAACAAAGAAAATTCTTCCACTGTGTAGAAAATGCATCAACATTATTCTAAGACTTTCTTCAGGAAATCCCAGGCATTTAAAGTCAGCCCTTTAATACTATGGTTCTTATTAAAACCAGAGATTAATGTATAACCAAAACTGAAAGCTTCATAGGTTACATTGTGTGAACATAAATGAAATAAAATTACTGTGATAGAAATATGCTTTAGTTTCTCTCTACAATTACAAAAACGGAAGTTGAATGAGGAATTTAAAAGATAACAATACACTTTTATCTTGTAACAGTGTTAATCACAGTGAAATATACTTTTCAGGATAACATTTTCAAATGGAGCAAATATCGTTACAGATTGATGGCATAGCCTTTATTTGCCTTGTCAACATTAAGGTAGGAAGACTTCTGAGATACAAATGTCAGACTGACAGTAGTGACTCAGAAGCAGAAATTCAAAAAATGCACTTGCTGTAAATTCTGCTACACTGCCCAGGGCACTTCTTGGTCTGTATGTGTAACATGTATTCAGCTATTGTAAAGTTTCTTTAACAGTCCTGGAAGTACTATGACAGTAACAAGGAAGATTGATAGCAGATTCCATGCCTCTTTGTTAATCACATTAAGAACTCTGCTTGGTACTCTTTGATGTTGTGTCTGGAAACATACATCCCCACCACACCATATTGAAAACTTTCATCCTATTACCCATCTGCTGCCAGCAAATGATCAGTTTAAAGGCAAAAAATGGGTGATGGGGGTGTGAAAGTCAAAGATTTGCCAAGCATACCGTTTTTCTACTACTCATTCTTCTAATTACCTTTTGGGAAATGAGAGAACCTAACCATATAACATTTTGAAATGTTTCCTTAGGGAATCTGAATAATATTTTATGTAGCTTGAGTTACATGATAATGACAAGCATGTCTTCAAACATTAGAATTAAACCCATGGATGTGGCATAGTGCCTGTTGTTTTTCATCATAAGAGTTTATGATAAAACTGAGTACTGGAGTCTGCAGTTTATAAAAAGATGTTTCCTTCTATTTAGCTGGAGGAGTTTCTTATACTGGTGGATTGGTTCCCAGCGCCTACAGTCAGATAAATAAAAAGTTGCAGCAGGGGGACCAACTAGTAGGGAGTACATTTCATCGGTTGGAGAGAGGAAATTTATTTCTTCAATTACTTTAGAACATCTGCATGTTACAAAGAGGAATGTGCATTAACACAATTAACCATTTCTTTTTTTTAATTGAATTCATGGATTCATTCCTAAGTTTTCTAATCAGTTTTGCTCTGGTGTCATAAGTTAAGGGAGAATCAATACCAAACTAATTTTCCTGCATAAAGAGATTACTTGGATAATAGATTTTTTCCAGTGCTTTTGGAAATATTGAGTCTAATAAAATAACTCTAACAGAGATACAATTATTCATATCAGTAAGTTGTTCATCAGAAATATTTCACAAAGACTAGACCTGAATCTAAATTGGAGGCAAAATCATTCAATTCAATAGAGCAGTTGCACTTTTCTCATATAGTAAAATGACCAGTTGCACCTAGTAAACAGTACAGCACAACCCCTAAGTGCAGGGGATCTGGAGGCAAAACATGAGGGTCAAAGCCTCACTGTACCACTTTCCAGCTGTGTAATCTTGGGAAAGATTCTTCATCTGTAAAATGATGCTTAAAAGCTATACCTGACTTTTAGGATTGTTGTAAACATTAAATTTGTAAATGAGAATGATCTTATAACTGTACATGTTAACCATTGTTTAAACCTATATGAATAAAATTCTAGATGAGTCACTGATATAGTTTGGCTGTGTACCTACCCAAATCTCATCTTGAATTGTAGCTCCCATAATTCCCACGTGCTCTGGGAGGAACCTGGTGGGAGATAATTGAATCATGGGGGAGGTTTACCCCATACTATTCTTGTGGTAGTGAAGAAGTCTCACAATAGCTGATGGTTTTATAATGAGTTTCCCTTTTGCTTGGTTCTCATTCGCTCTTGCTTGCTGCCATGTAAGACTGTGATTGCCTGGACTGTGAGGCCTCCCCAGCAACGTGAAACTGTGAGTCCATTCATTTTCTTTATAAATTACCCAGTCTTGAGTATGTCTTGATCAATAGAGTGAAAATGGACTGATAACAGTCTTGGACTGTGAGCTCCAAGAATTAAATGCTGTGTAGAATGATGGAATATCCTGGGAAGACATCTACAGCTCTGGAGAGGCACTACCTAAAATAAAGAACTTATGTCAGAAAGGAAAATCAAACCTATCTTCATCTTAATGGATTCTCATTAACTACATTACTGGTGAACATTTTTCATACATGGCTGATTTTCTCAGCTGACACTACAATCAGATTTCATTCCTTCTCCAAACAGGGATGTGTTTACTCTCAAGAAATGCAATCTAATTTAAAATTGGGTGGAGAAAAACCATGTCAAAAAACACAGTAGTTGTATGGCTAAAATAGATCAACCACTTTCTTACATACAAACCAAAATGTTTCAGATTAGGTACTTCATTGTTTATTTCTTTTAGAATAGAAAAGAAAAAGTTAAGATTATATCTCTGCCTAAAGATTTAGAAACAGGGTCCGAAGGTAGCACCATCAATGAGTTACTTCCAAATAGTCTGCCAGAGAGTCCTTAAAATCTAAATGTTCTCTTTAAAGAGGCAGTAATTGAGAATCATTATTTTAATATAGAATCTCAACTGTTACAGCTATAAATAATACTCCATCCCATTATGATTATTTAGTGTATTGCTTTCTTAATGATTGTTTTCATAATTAAGAAGAAATGCAATATTCTCTCTATTTAAAAACCTTTTTTTGTAGGTGTATTGAACTATATATCCATCCTCCTAGCAAGCTTGGTGTTCCAAATTGGATTAGAAAAAAAATAATACAGGTAGATTTAGGATGTTTGTCATGCTAATAGGCCTTCTTTAGGAAGAGAAAACTTCAATTAGTTTCTGTCATGGATTGGAGAAGGTAAAGGCTGGAGGAAGGAATAAATGTGGGAATTACATTAAATAAATTTATCTAGGGAAAGTCACCCTGAGAACTACTTAGTAGGAAAAGCAAAGCAAAATGCCTATATAGGAACACTTCCACAATCCAGAGCAGTGAGGATTGTCAGGAGGAAAGGGAAATTCTTTGAAATGGTATCTCTGTAAATACTTTTGAACCACAGGAGAAGCAATGTACCATGAAGTCAAGTCAACAGAGGAGAGTAAGATTAGCTCTCCAAGAGTCTGAGATAGTAGAACAATATAAAATATACTTTTGCAATTTCTGAATATAATTGTTAAGTGTTGCAAAAATGAAGTTAAACAACACTGAAAAACACTGAATAAAAATAAGCAGATATGAAAAGGAAAACAAACAATTTTTTAGAATTGAATACATAGAAATGAAAAACATATACTCTGTAGACAGGCCAAATAACTGAATATGGGAAAAGAATACTGATGAACTAGAATATAGAGCTGAAGAAACTCTCTAGAAGCTGCAAAATGACATAAAGAGATGAGAAACATGAAACAGAGGTTAAGAGATATAAAGGGTAAAGTGGAAGGTCAACTATTTTTTTTTCTTTTTTTTGAGACAGAGTCTCGCTTTGTTGCCCAGGCTGGAGTGCAGTGGTGCAATCAGCTCACTGGAGCCTCGACCTCCAGGGCCCATGTGCAAATGATCCTCCCAACTTAGCCTCCAAACAACTGGGACTGCAGGCTCAGGCCACTATGCCTGGCTAATTTTTTTTTTTTTAAGTTTTTGTAGAGATGGCAGTCTCCCTATATTGCCCAGGTGGATCTTGAACTCCTGGACTCAAGCAATCTACTCAACTTGGCCTCCCAAAGTGCTGGGATTATAGGTGTGAGCCACCACACCTGGTCAACATATTTTTATTGTTTGTTTGTGTTTTGAGACGGAGTCTCGCTCTGTTGCCCAGGCTGGGGTGCAGTGGCACAATCTCGGCTCACTGCAACCTCTGCCTCCCAGGTTCATGCCATTCTCCTGCCTCAGCCTCCCAAGTAGCTGGGACTACAGGTGCCCGCCACCATGCCTGGCTAATTTTTTGTATTTTTACTAGAGACGAGGTTTCACCGTGTTAGCCAGGATGGTCTCGATCTCCTGACCTCGTGATCCGCCCACCTCGGCCTCCCAAAGTGCTGGGATTATAGGCATGAGCCACAGCGCCCAGCCTGGTCAACATATTTTTAATAGGAATTTGAGAATGGACAATAGGGAAAATAAAGACAAAGCAATATTTGGAAAAGTAATAGTTGAAAAATTTCCAGGAATAGTTAAAAACAAGTTCTTAATTTCTAAAATTACAATATATTAACAGAAAAGTAATAAAATGTAAATTTAAAAAATGTAAATCCAAGATGAATTTAAAAATAAGAATTTGTAAAAGAATGTGTATGTGGGTATATATGTGTGTGTGTATATGTGTGTGTCGTCATCTTCTAGACATCTATGGTTTTAGCACATGAAAAGAAACAAAAATAAAGCAAATAGGCTAACATTATTAGAATTCTATTACTATTAATGTACTCTAGTATGACCATGTTAATATTAAAACTTCACTTTGACAAATGACACTATAAACAGGATTAGACCATAGACAGAATGTATTAGAGCACAAATATATAAAGAAATTTTCTAGGTCAACATGAAAAAGGCAACAATCTAACAGAAAATATTAAAAGGATATGATTAGGCAATTCACAGAAGACAAAAATTTGAATGGTTATCATTTTATAAAAGGATTTCCTACCAATCAGAAAAATAAAAATAAATTTTTAAAAGATGGCAAGCATTTGAAAAATCTCATATATTGCATTTCTATAACTAATTGCGTAAATAAATATGTCATATCAATTGAAACTAAAACATATACCTTATGATGTAGGAATTATATTTCAGTTGCTATATTGTTTGCAATAGTTACATGTAGGATAGATAAGTGATGTATTATTATTACAAATGGATTGGTATATAGTGTTAAAAATCTACACTGTATGAAACTTTAGCAATAATGAGGCTATAAAGTTGTCTGAAAAGAAAATATTAAAATTTTTAAAAGCATTTAAAAAAAATTTCCTGTAAGTAAATTTTCAGATGGTTTTAGTATAACACGGTTAGAGAGGATTCATTATAAACCTTGCTTAATTTTTGGGTTATGGAGTATTATTAATTTTAGACATCAATAGGAAAATAAAATTATTAATTATTTGAGTAAACACTCAGAATAGAAATAGATGTAGAACTTTAAATTCATCAAGGAACAAAAGACATTCATCTAAATCAAGTCAGAAAATGTCAAGAAAAAAACGAAAAAATAAGCAAAAAATGAATGAATGAATAAAATGCAAGATTAAGAACACAGTATATGAGACAATTTTTAAGATCTTAAATCATTCACTAAAAAGAAACAATGACGTAAGACACTTCCATTTAAGTTAAGCATAGAAAATAACTATTGATATTGAGCACCTTACCTTGGTAGATTCTGCAGAATTTAGGCTGAGATGACAAAATTTTGATGTAGTAGAAAGACAATTGAGCCCTTTTTCCTGGCTCTGAAACTTATTTATTCCATACATGAAATTGAAGGAATACATTTAACTTATATGAATGTCTGTTTTTAAATGCAAATGTGGGGTAATGAGAGCAGCTTTCCCTTAGAGTTTAGGTTGAATTTCCAATTGCACATCATCACATGTGAGGCCTTTCATGAGGCTTCTCTAGTCTCATCTCCAACATTTTTCTTCTCAGGACACCTTTGCTTCAGCTCAAAAAACTATTTGCAGCCCCCACCACGGATTCTCCACTGTTCAAAATCTGTCCTCTTCAGAAATTGCTATGTCCAACCAAGTCTTTTAAGGGAAACTACACTGCTGAAAAACCTACTGAAGAAGGAGATATCCCTTGGATATCCCTTGGATATCCCTTGGAAAAAGTGACAACCAATTTTACCAGACAGTGGTATCTAAGTCAGCAAATCTGGTAGCGTCTTGCACAGAAAATCATGAGTAAGAGGAAAAATGGTAATATGTTGGGTTATTCACATATGAATTTGGAATTATTTCTTTGGAATTTGAATGGAAAATTGTGAAGATAATCAACCACGGATAGCAGAAATAGAAACAAGAAAATAGACCATAAAGGGCAGAGACCAAGAGTGGAGACTGATCATATTAACAAAACTAAAATAAGGAAAGCATTACTTTCTTTTTATACATTAAATAAGTGACAACAATTGTGCTCTATTATACCTGTTAACAAAAAAGACCATGAGATCTTTGGAGGAAAAAGGAGAACTTTACTTTTTTAAAACAATCTGCAGACTGGGGAGACACAGACTTTGGTGCAAACCAATGATGCACTCTGGGGTTGGGGGTTGGAAAGTTAGAGATTATAAAGGCAAAAGCTGCAGGGGGAGTCAGGGGAGTGTAGAACAGAGTCTTAATTGGATGGCGTTTAAGCCCCAAATCACCACTTTCTCTTAATTGGCTGGTTCCAGGTGGCTGGTGGTTGGTTGGCTTGTGCCATGTGGTTCTTTTATAGTCAGTTAGGGAATTCTCAGCTGCAGTTGTTTCCAGGAACTGTTATTTTAGTTAGTTGTAGAAAAACAGGTTTTGCAACACTTTCTAAGGACACAGTGACTGCTCCCTCACCCTGCCATGGGCTCTGGTGTCTGCTTTTACTTTTGAGCCACAGAGTCTGGGAGCATAATTGTCTAATAACTGGGAGCATGATTTGACTTACCATATTGAAAACAGGTGTTTTTTAAAACTCTAATTTGAAAAAAAATTGATATAGATAACATAAAACATGATTTCCAGGCTAATTTTTGTTACTCTTTTTCTTTTGAATGAATGTTCTTAAAGGTAGTAATTTTACATTTAATTGAAAATTTTCTTAAACTAGAGAAATTAGGAATCCAATTTACCTAAAAGTAAAACAACTAAAAAGTTTCTCCACATTCTCCAGTGTAATTCTCTTGTGTGTTGTTCTTCAAGTTTCAAACATGCATAGTATAAACTGAGATTTACCTCTGCTAACAAATTTTTTTCCTCAATTTTTGCCAAAAAGTTCATTCTTTCATTTCCTGGTAAAACAAATAATGGAAATTTGATTCCTCATACATGTAACTTTTGAGTGAGTTTTTTTGTTGTTGTTATTAAAATAATGGAGTACAAGAAGTATGAATTAGCAATAGAAATAAGATAAAATAATTTTTTAAGAGTAGGACCATATATTTTATGTACTTGCCCCCCCCATCCCCCCCAAAATTAGATATCAACATAATTAAAGTTTTTCTTTGGCACTAACAGCTTCTAAAAAGAAGGAATACTGAAGGGATTTAATCAGCTAATATTTTATTTATTTTATTTTTTTATCAAGTCCAATATTTAGTTTACAGATGACATATTCCAGAGAATATTTGAAGCCTGTCATTTTTTTTATTATACTTTAAGTTTTAGGGTACATGTGCACAATGTGCAGGTTAGTTACGTATGTATACATGTGCCATGCTGGTGTGCTGCACCCATTAACTCGTCATTTAGCATTAGGTATATCTCCTAATGCTATCCCTCCCCCCTCTGCCCCCAACAACAGTCCCCAGAGTGTGATGTTCCCCTTCCTGTGTCCATGTGTTCTCATTGTTCAATTCCCACCTATGAGTGACAATATGCGGTGTTTGGTTTTTTGTTCTTGCGATAGTTTACTGAGAATGATGATTTCCAATTTCATCCATGTCCCTACAAAGGACATGAACTCATCATTTTTTATGGCTGCATAGTATTCCATGGTGTATATGTGCCACATTTTCTTAATCCAGTCTATCATTGTTGGACATTTGGGTTGGTTCCAAGTCTCTGCTATTGTGAATAGTGCCGCAATAAACATACGTGGGCATGTGTCTTTATAGCATCAGCTAATATTTTATAATGCATTTTTATTTCTGAATTAATTATGCTAGCTTTTCTCTAAGTCAAAAGTGGCTGGTGTAGCAGTAACAGCGGTGGTGGGTGGAGATGGGGAATGAGGAGATATTGACCAGATAATTCAGAGCAGATTCCATTCCCATGGATATGAAAATAGAAAGCAAAAAAGGCAGGAAGCAGCAGTGAATGCAATAGTTAAAATGCAGCTTGCTTTGAAGAGGAGGGGGGAAGGGTGGAAGGAAAGAAATAAGCAACCAAAGACAGGTCATGTAAACCATGAGCCAGGAAGTAAATTCTTTAAAATGATGCTTGCCAGAAGCTAAATTCTTGTAAATGTGGGCCTTTTTTTCCCCCTAATGCTATTACTATTGGAATGAGGAATACTTGGGGACCGGATGAGGAAAAGGTCAGAAGTCACTAAATTGTAATTTTATGAAGAATGTAATTGCTCTGCTTTCGTTTTAACGTTAAAATCTATAAGCCCAGGAAAAACAATTCTCCTTCTCATGAACTACCCTTTCCAACATTTCTAGAAGATTT
Organism: Homo sapiens; assembly: GCF_000001405.40. Lineage (NCBI taxonomy): Eukaryota > Metazoa > Chordata > Mammalia > Primates > Hominidae > Homo > Homo sapiens. The sequence goes on from NC_000004.12 coordinate 137,610,141, forward strand.
ATATTATATGAGAAAAGACTCTCCTCCCAAAGTATTGGTTTATATTTTTAAAATCTGTTTTTAGTTTGGAGTTACTGGGAGGAGGTAGGAGCGGGCTGTGGAGGAGGGAGGAAGTTGTTAGTCTAGAATGGCTGCTGCTTGGGTGGAAGTTGGATGAATCTAAATGACTTAATAATTTCAATTCTCTGGAGTTGGTCTGTTTCTTATCTCAATGTCTAAGGAAAAAATAATTTTTGGCTAGTAGGCATAAAAATTTTTCAATTATTGAGACATCAAATATCTGCTAATCCAGAGTTAAAGCTTAGCTTCAACACATTAAAGATGAGATTTAAAAGTACAGGTTATACTGTAGCACATACATTCATACATAGAATATTGATATTCTTTTTCAGCAATAAAAATGATGCTTAAGGAATATTGCTCCAACAGGCTTTGGTGTTAAGAAGCAATTAATGATATAGCAGTTTTTGTTTGTTTTTTGCCATCGCCATAAACCAGTAAATCATTAGCATACAATTCCAGATAGTTACCGCCATTAACCAAGTGGCTTGAGTAGAATGATATTAAAAATATTTAAAGTAGTAAACACTTTGGGGAAAAAAGTGGAGAGAAGAAATATCTTTTTTTAAAAAAAATTATCTTCAGATGTGTCTCACTGCATGAACTTTAGTTCAGTGAAAATATGTGCCTGCAAAAGTTGCACGAAATCTTGATGTGACTCTTACCATAAAAGCTTACCTTCACTTTTAAATTTCCTTAGTGTGACTGATTTTCCCCATTAGATAAAATATGTTTAAATTTCAGGCACTGACAAATAGCCATGTAAACATCTATCTGCATGTTCATAAGGAAAAGTATCTGCTCAAGGGATTATTAACATCATTTTAAAAGAAAATATTTGTTTCTTCTTTTGGATTTAAAATGATTTTAAAGGTTTTATGTAGAAATACATAATCAAAGGGATAAATGCTAGATTTTAAAGAAGTATTTAAAGACCCTGTCATGTTGGACCCCTACTGGCTCCACTAGGAATGGCACTGTGTCTGAGAGGCCAAGAAAGAGACCCAGAGCCTGCAAAAGAGACATCAAGTTTATTGAAGACTTACGTATGGGATGGTCCAGTGGTAGTGGGCTGGACAGGACAGATGCTACCACTTGTAAAAGCATGTGGTCTATATAGCAATTTTCACTTTGCACACTCCACGTAGCAACCCCCATTTAACCCCAAACAAAGGGCTTCAATCCCCTGTATGGTCTGCATTCCAAGGGATAGGCCAATGGATCAGATATCCTTCATACATAAGGAATGAATCTCCAGTTGGCTACCCCCAGGTTTCTTGCTTAGAACTCCAAACACACATTCTTCTTAGAAGGTAGGGTCATTCTCGGGGTATGGTTAAGTTATTGCTGTCAGGAGCATCTGCCATACACACCCAGAGGACATTTGCCTCTCTTCGTGGATTAGCAATAGATTCTATATTTTCATATTCAGTAGTATCATTTTTAAAGCTAAAGGTCTCTATCCAATACATTAAATTGCTCAACAATTTTAGGAACAATTTTGAGTAATCCAAGGCTTAACAAGCTGTTATGGTTAATAAATTACATCCCACCTAGGCTTTTGATCAGAATATCCAGAGAGCTTCTAGCAAAGAGTTAAGGTAAAACATGGTTAATAATTTCTTTTTCAAAACATAGACACAACTTTACTTAGTGTCTTTGAAATAGTGAGCATTAGCTTATAATTTCACAAAACATTTCATTGAAAGAATTGTATAAGAGCTTCAATACTCTCAACTATGGAGTTATACAGGAATGATTTTTACTCTATATTTAATAACAGCACTTTCTTTTAATAAGACATCCCAGTGGAAACCACCAGTATGTGAATTACAGAAAATAAAAGTTAATTAAACAAGTAGTGACATTGACCTCATTAAGATACCTGGGTATTTATCAGAGAAAGTGATACCTCAGTGAGTTTATCAGAACACAGAACAGAGATAGCATCACCTTAATTGAATTCAAGTAACAGTGAAGGGCAAATTTCATTAGGTATTCTGTATGAGAAAGCTAGATGGTAGAAACAGGATTAGATTCAGGCACTACACCAAATAGTATGAAAGTTGTTTGAATTCAAAACAAGATTATATTATTAGAAGATGTGAGTTATCATAATGTATTACTCATGTGAAAGTAAGTGTTTCCTCAGTATTCTCTGCGGTGTTTATCTCACCTGAACATCTCCATAGTGGATGTAAAAATAGTCTGTCAATGGTTAAATCAGACTGAGAAATAGCAGTCCTGACTTCTCTGGCTTGTTTTCCAAATTACCTTGGTGCACAAGGGAATGAAGGTTGCTTTTAACTCAGTGACTGCACAGCAAACATATTCCTCATGGAAAACACGTGTAGGAGGTCATATTTCCTCATCTCAGCTTGTGTCAGCCCTTTTAGAAAAACAGAAGAAAATGAAAGCGATTATTTCACCTTAGCTAATTTGTGAGTTTCTTTATACATCTTGTGTTTCAAATATTTTTGTGAGGAGTGAATTTACCAACACAGTTTGAAGCGTATGGTGTATGTGTGTGTATGTGTGACTTATGATGTAGCATGGGAATCCCTATCTTTCAATAAATAGCACAGATTCCCATTTTCCTATTTTAAATAAATTGAAAATGAAAATGTATTTTGTTTTGTTTTGTTTTGTTTTTTATGTCTGGTCTTTGGAACTGGACCCATTATTGAGCAGGTTGTGAGAGAAAGGACTAGCTGGATTTCCTAGGCCGACTAAGAATCCCTAAGCCTAGCTGGGAAGGTGACCGCTTCCACCTTTAAACAGGGGGCTTGCAACTTAGCTCATACCCGACCAACCGGATAGCACTAAAATGCTAATTAGGCAAAAACAGGAGGTAAAGAAATGGCCAATCATTTATTGCCTGAGAGCACATCGGGAGGGACAATGATTGGGATATAAACACAGGCATTCGAGCAGGCAACAGATACCCTCTTTGGGTCCCCTCCCTTTGTATGGGAGCTCTGTTTTCACTCTACTTCACTCTGTTAAATCTTGCAACTGCACTCTTCTGGTCCATGTTTGTTACCGCTCGAGGTGAGCTTTTGCTCGCCATCCACCACTGCTGCTTGACGCCATTGCAGACCCGCCGCTGACTTCCATCCCTGCGGATCCTGCAGGGTGTCCACTGTGCTCCTCATCCAGCCAGGCACCCATTGCCACTCCCAATTGGGCTAAAGGCTTGCCATTGTTCCTGCATGGCTAAGTGCCTGGGTTCGTCCTAATCTAGCTGAACACTAGTCACTGGGTTCCACAGTTCTCTTCCATGACCCACAGCTTCTAATAGACTATAACACTCACCACATGGCCCAAAATTCCATTCCTTGGAATCCGTGAGGCCAAGAACTGCAGGTCAGAGAACACGAGGCTTGCCACCATTTTGGAAGTGGCCTACCACCATCGTGGGAGCTCTGGGAGCAAGGACCCCCGGTAACAGTTGGGGAAAAAAATCTTACTGATTGAAAACTTTGCAATTGCAACTATTCTATATTCAACTAAGCAAATTTCAGAGCCATCTACAAAAGATATCCTACTATATCAGCCCTTCTTGCCTCTCTACCCATCTGTTCTTCTCTTTTTAAATTTTATGTCATTTTACTTACTGTGTCACTATTATGTGAGAAATACCAGGTTAAACCTTGTTTAATAAAGAATGTTAAAATAGAGACCTTGGTCTGAAGGAATTTACACTCTAAATAGGAAAATAAGTATACATGCATGAAAAAAGAAACTAATAATTTTTGAGCACCTATTATATTTTACACACATTTTCACATAAACTACATGAACTTGAGCATTGTAAAATTGTTTGGGGCTCTAAGTGCTATTAAGGTATCTATTTTGAACATAAGGACAATAAAGTTTGAAGAGGCCCAAGATCATACTACTAATAAATGCTGGACCTAGGTTTTGAACCAGGGTATTTGATCTTTAAACATAGTTCTTTGTTCTATACCAAAGCTCTCTCCTCGCTGCTCTTTTCCCCACTTAATTCCTTGGCTACATTTTTCATATTCTACCTATTCATTCCTTAATGAGGAAATACTCAGACTGCACAAGAACTGTTTGTAGTGTCCCCACTAACATCTGGGGAATAAAAGGGGCTGATTTTCACATAGCACAAAACAAATAAATAGAGTCCCTGTGGGTGAAAATGAAGTTGAAAGGACATGGCCTTCAAATAAATTGTATATAACTTTAATCTGCACTAGAACACCAACATTTCTTATCTTTTAAGACTTAGCTCAAGTGGCCTTTCTTTGAGTTATAATGAAGGATAGGTGAAATTCAAGATAACCAAGGATTCAAAGTCTTATTATTACCAATTTATTGTTGCATTATTACTTAGATAGTATATTATGTAATAATGCATGGCTGAAATGAATATTCAGTAAGACAAGAAGGTTAGAATGTTCTGTGGGGAAACAAGAGCTCCAAATGTAAATACTATGATGAGGAAACAAGAGCTCCAAATGTAAATACTATGCAGAGAAGTAATAAGAGCTCCAAATGTAAATACTATGATGTAGTGGTATCATCCAACCTTCCAGATGACTAAAGGATCTGATTTTATCAAGATAAAATATCATTTGTGTTGTCTATCAGTCCTATTTGATATTAAACTCATTTTAGTGAAATTGCTTGGACTCGAAGTCACAAGATATGTGTGGCTCTCTTTTTATGTCGTGTATGTGATTTAGGACAAGATACTTTAATCCCAGCTGATCTCAGGTTCTGTGGCTGAAATACATGTCTTAAAAGTTAACACAAGTATTAGGCCGGGCAAGGTGGCTCACGCCTGTAATCCTATCACTTTGGGAGGCTGAGGCAGGCCAATCACTTGAGGCCAGAAGATCAAGACCAGCCTGGCCAACATGGCAAAACCCTGTCTCTACTAAAAACGCAAAAATTAGACCAGTGTGATGGCACACCCCTGTAATCCCAGCTCCTTGGGTGGCTGAGGCACAAGAATCTCTTGAACCTGGAGGCAGAGGTGGCAATGAGTTGACATCATGCCACGCCACTACACTTCAGCCTGGGTGATGGAGTGAGACGCTGTCAAGAACAAAACAAAAACAAAAACAAATACAAGTATTAAATGACAAGGTCAATAAAAATACCCAGCTTAATGCCTTGTACATAGAGCTTAGTATACATCACATGACACTAGGGTGAGCTGCTCCAATAACAAGACCTTGGAGCTTAGTCTTTCTGCCATCTTTGAAATATATTACTGATCATTTGCCCAGGTTAGATTGTGGCTACTTAGTTTAGTGAGCGAAACAAAAACTATCACGAAAAGAAGAACCATACATAAACTGTTGACATCTGCTTTAAAAAAACACCGTGAAGCTTTAGGGTGCTAAAAAAATAACCGTAGCACTTAGAATAATTTGACAAGGCCAGGTGCGGTGGCTCACACCTGTAATCCCAGCACTTTGGGAGGCTGAGGTGGGTGGATCACCTGAGGTCAGGAGTTCAAGACCAGCCTGACCAACATGGAGAAACCCTGTCTCTACTAAAAATACAAAATTAGCCAGGTGTGGTGGTGCATACCTGTAATCCCAGCTACTGGGGAGGCTGAGGCAAGAGAATCACTTGAACCCAGAAGGTGGAGGTTGTGGTGAGCAGAGATCACTCCAAGGCACTCCAGCCTGGGCCACAAGAGCAAAACTCTGTCTCAAAAAAAAGAATAATTTGACAGGCAGATAAAAACAGTGGCTATTTTAAGCAAAATTGAGATGATAACTACAAGCATAAAGAGCAAACATATAAAGAAAGGATCCACCTAAGAATGGGATCTGCAATCTGAAGTCAGCATCCACATTGTTATTAGCAATAATTGCCACCAGTTCATACATTTATTTCAGGTCTTCTGCTTAACAACATGCTAGGGACGGAAAGTTTGTGCTTCCCACCATTCATATCTTGAAGCCCTACCCACAACGTGATAATATTTGGAGATGGAGCCTTTGGGAAGTAATTAGGTTTAGATGAGGTTAGGAGGGTGGGGTCCCCATGATGATATTAGTATTCTTATAAGAAGAGGAAGAGACTAAAGCTCTCTTTCTCTCTTTGTACCACGTGATTATAAAATAAAAAGACTGCCATCTGCAAGCCAAGAAGAGGACCCTCACCAAGAGGCAAATTTGCCAGCACTTTTATCATGGACTTCCTAGGCTCCAGAACTACGAGAAATAATTGGCTCTTATTTAAGCTATCCAGTCTATGGTATTTTGTTATAGCAGCCTGAGGCACCATGGTAGAGTTCATTTAAAACCACGCCTTACCTCAACATCTCATCAACTGAAGCTGGCCAAAGTGTCTGAGTTCAACAAGTTAGTGCTCATTTCTGTGACATAGATTGCAATCACTTTTTAAAAATAAAGACACGAACTTGTAGATATTAGACAAACCTTAGGTTTGGATCAGGAAAACCTGTCCTTATATGTTATCAGGTAGAGAATGTGTATTTTGAGACTTATTTGGGAAGAAACATAGTAATCAAGGTGCCAGATGTCACTGTTACTAGTTCTCTTTTTTTATTGCTGTGCTTAAAGCTATAAAAAGCAAGTTATGTAAATTTGAATTGAAATATTATGAACTTTTGCCTTTTAAAGGGAGAAACATGGCTAAAAGTGATTTCTACATCTCTAACTTTTAGGAATCATTCGATATTTTATTAGATTAATACTGATAATAAGTACACTATTGTGAGCATTTTATATATGCCAGAACATATCTCAGAGGCATTTATATCACCATCACCACAATGAATTGAGATAGATGTTAAAACTCTCATATAACAGATGAAGAAACAGAGGCTCAGAGTAACTAAGTATGTTTACTAAGCAATTGTGGTAGCTAAACGTTTGAGCTGGGACACTACTGACTCCAGGCCCCATGCTCTCCAATTTAAAAAAAAACTTCTGATGATTGTACTTTATTATGTTGATTTCAAATAAGCTTCTTTCCATATTTTGAGTAATTTCTCACTGGAGAACTTTCACAGCAAGCTCTTGTGATACATGTTGATCATAAAAGAAAAGAATTAAGGATAAAAAATAGGTAGTTAGAACTTTGTCTACTTCTAAACAGAGGAATATTATCTTCTCACCATTTATTAAATGAACATAATATACTAAATGTTTTTGGTTATAGGAGTAACAGATGTGTTTTATTTCTAGGTTTTTCATTTAACTTGCCTTTTTTTTTTTTTTTTTTTTTTTTTTTGAGACGGAGTTTCACTCTCATTGTCCAGGCTGGAGGGCAATGGCATGATCTCGGCTTACTGCAACCTCTGCCTTCCGGGTCAAGCGATTCTCCTGTTTCAGCCTCCCAAGTAGCTGGGATTACAGGCATGTGCCACCATGCTCGGCTAATTTTGTATTTTTAGTAGAGACGGGGTTTCTCCATGTTGGTCAGGCTGGTCTTGAACTCCCGACCTCAGGTGATCTGCCCACCTCGGCCTCCCAAAGTGCTGGGATTACAGGCGTGAGCCACTGCGCCCGGCTAACTTGCCTTTTTAAAGTGGTAATAGCCAAATTTAGGTTGCTACTTTTATTTATCTATTATCAGTTACTTTTTCCTTTACAGGATATTAATTTTTTTTATGTTTTTTCTCCTTTATTAGTAGTTTTCCTTTTATCTTAGCATCAGTTCAGTTTGGGAAGCACTGTCTTGTAGATCCTGGCATCCAACATATATCAATTCTTCAATATTTGGAAATGGTTGAGAAAAAAGAGTAGTAAATGTACAATATATTTTGATAAATCACATATATTTAGGCAGAAAGAAAACAAAACCACTTATTTCTCTCCAGGTGATCTATTTCTGACAGTAACTTGACTTGGTAACTATAATTTAGACTTCACAAAAAGACATATCGTGCATTTTCAATAACTCCAATTGCCTCATGCTGCCACTCTACAGGAAGAAATATTTTTCCTTTCTTCTTTTCTCTTCTCTCCTTTTCTCTTTTCTAACTTGGAAGTTAGAAAGTAAAAGGTGTTATGGAAATAATATAACAAGGAAGGGGAAAAATGTGTTTGGGGAAGAGTAAACATTTTAAATGGAGAGTCAGGGAAGGTCTCAGCAAGAAGACGGCATGTAAGAAAAACCTTGCAGGAAGTGAGTAAATCTTGGGAAAGAGCATTCTAGACAGACAGAAAAGCTGGTATAAAAGTATTGAGGCAGGAGTGTTATTAGTGCATTTGCAGAGTAGGAAGGAAGCCAGTATGGCTGAAACAAGGTTAAAATGTAATGGGTGGCCAGATTGCTCACAGGTTTTTATACACATAAGGACATGAAATTACATAAAAAGTATGACAAGGGTTACCCTGGCTGCTTTATTGAGAGTATAGTATAAGAGCAAGAATAGAATCAGTAAGACCAATAAGCAAATATTAAAATAATTCAACAAAGAAACAGTGGTGACTTGGCCCAAAATAATAGCAATGGAAGTGGTTGAAGCATTGGATTCTGAATGCATTAAAATCAACAGAGATTGTTGATATTTTGGACATATGTTATGAAAGAAAGAGAAAAATTAATGATTTCAATAATTTTTGACTGAGTGCAGTGGCTCATGCCTGTAATCTCAGCACTTTGGGGGACCAAAGTAGGCAGATCACTTGAGTTCAGGAGTTCAAGACCAGCCTGGCCAGCATGGTGAAACCCCATCTCTACTAAAAATACAAAAATTAGCTGGGCGTGGTGGCAGGCACCTATAATCCCAGCTACTGGGGAGGCTAAGGCAGGAAAACTGCTTTTACCTGGAAAGCAGAGGTTGCAGTGAGCCGAGACTGTGCTACTGCACTCCAGCCTGGGTGACAGAGTGAGACTCCGTCTCAAAAAAAAGAAAAAAAAAAAAAAGAATTCTAGCCTAAGAGACAAACATGATAGAATTGTTATTAATTGAGGTGGAGAAGCCTATGGGAAAAGCAGGTTTATTTGGTACAAATCAAGAATTTAGTTCTGGATATGCTAATTTAAGAGGTCCATTAGACAAATACAAGAATATGTTGGGGCGGCAGCTAGAAATATATGGATATAGTTCAGGCAATGTGGATGTGGGTGTTGTCATCATATAGACGGTATGTAAAGTCATAAGATTAGGCAAGATCCTCAAAGGAGTAAGTGTAGCTAGAGATAAAAAGAAATCCAGGCCGGGAGCGGTGGCTCGTTCGTGCCTGTAATCCCAGCACTTTGGGAGGCCGAGGTGGTTGGATCACCTGAGGTCGGGAGTCCGAGACCAGCCTGACCAACATGGAGCAACCCCGTCTCTACTAAAAATACAAAATTAGCCGGGCTTGGTGGCACATGCCTGTAATCCCAGCTACTAGGGTGGCTGAGGCAGGAGAATCTCTTGAACCTGGGAGGCGAAGGTTGCGGTGAGCCAAGATCGTGCCATTGCCCTCCAGCCTGGGCAACAAGAGCAAAACTCCACCTCAAAAAAAAAAAAAAAAGAAAGAAATCCAAAGTTCAAGCACTGGTGCCCTCCAACTTTAAGGTAGTTTAGGAAAAATCAGCAATATAAACTTAACAGTAATTGCCAATGAACAAGTGTAAAATTAGTAGAGTGTCATATAATAGATGCCAAGAGAAAAACAGAATTAAAGCAGGCAAGGCTATAGACTTTATAATAAGTTGGATAATTATATCTAAAATAAATACATCATAACTTATCTCACCCTATTATTTAAGGACATTTAACTATGCTTGTGTAATAATAATTAATATTTTCACATAACATTACCTTATCATTACACATTAGGATTAAATATGAAATATTGGGCAGCTGTACTACTTTCTGTTTCACTGAAGAAATCAACAAAATGATCAACCTATTCTTATGTTAAAAAGTGCTCTACTTCTGCCACTTTTGACTTATAAAACATGATCAATATGGCAGTATATTGTATTATTAATATATAGAAAATAAATGGAGGAAAAAATCAGTTATTTTGCCATAATTAATATAAACGTTTTTGAAAGTGCCCAAATGCATTTGCATTATGGACTCAGGCCACTGTATCTTTAAAATCTAAAAATCTGGGCATGGTGGCTCATAATTGTAATCCCAGCACTTTGGTAGGCTGAGGCTGGCGAGTCACTTGAGGTCAGGAGTTTGAGGCCAGCCTGGACAACACTGCAAAAACCCGTCTCTACTAAAAATACAAAAATTAGCCAGGGATGGTGGCTTATGCTTGTAATCCGAGCTACTCAGGAGGCTGAGGCAGGAGAATCGCTTGAGCCTTGGGGGCCGAGGTTGCAGTGAGCCGAGATCACGCCATTGCACTCCAGCCTGGGAGACGCAGCGAGACTCTGTCTCAAAATAAATAAATAAAATAAAATAAAATCTAAAAACCCTCACATACAAACCTGTAAATTAGGAGTGTTCATGAGCTTTATCAAGAAAGCACAGACTATGCCCTGATAGGATATGGCAGACTCCTGAAAAGGTAGGCTCCCAAATCCTCAAAACATAATGTAGTGTTAATAGAACAATTTGGTAGTTCATGTGATGATTAAGAAGAGAAAAACACATGTGCATTTTAATTTTCTTACTGAAAGTGACTCCACAAAGTACTGACTATAATGCAAACTAAATATGCATAGAAAGAGAAGCATGTCTGATTTTTAAACTATTATTATGATGATAAAAGAATGTAAGCCTTGACCATTAGGAATCATGGAAGTAATTTTAATATTAGTAACAAAAGTTAAGGAACTGAACTATAAGTGTTCCATTTTAAGCCCTATATTTGGAGAACCAGAGCCTGCCTCACAGGAAGCAGCCTGGTTGCCTGCCTGTGAAAAGTTTCACACGCCCTCCTTTTGCCCCCTTAGCCTTCTCACTTCTTAGCCCCACCTTGCTCACTTGCCCCATTAACACTGAGCATAAATCAGTGTCATCTGCTGTCTCTTGCGTTTCTTTCTTCCCTTCCTCTTTCACTCTCTTTCTCTCCCTGTCTGTCTTTGTAAGTTGGTCTCCATTGCACCATATGGCAGCTGAGAGAAGGGGAGAGCAATTATCTGCCTCTGAACAAAAGGCGCTGTGGTGACACAGCGGCCCATGAATGCATGAGACACGGTCATGTATAGAAGGGCCTCCAGCCCTGTCAGCGAGACTAAAGGGAAGGGTGATGGAGCTGCCTCCAGATAGGCAGACAAACCAGTAAACCCTTCCTCAGTGTCCCTTTCCCTCCTCTCCTTCCCTCTGTTTTCAGTGTTTTTCATTTGCTTGTTTCTGTGTCCAAATCAGATTAGTTTATTAATGACAAAGTCAGAATGTGTGGCAGAACAAGAAATTAAAGCAAGCTACCTTATTCATACACTTCTAAATAGCTCCAAACAACATGTCAATAATTGCACAAGTATTTCAACATATAAGGGGAAAACTGATAAATTTCAAGGAGACGGTATCCTTTTAAAATATTTATTTATTTATTTTTATTGATATTTCATAGCTGTTCATATTTTGGGGTACCTGTCATATTTTGATACATGTATACAATGTGTAATGATTAAATCAGAGTAATTGAACTATTCGTCACCTTAAACATTTATCTTTTCTTTGTGCTGGGAACACTACATTTTTTCTCTTCTAGCTACTTTGAAATACATAGTAAATTATTGTTACCTATAATTTTCCTACTATACTATCAAACAGTAGAACTTGTTCCTTCTACCTGACTATATTTTTGTGTCCAAAGACCATATTCTTTTTTCCCTTTCTTCTAAAGAAAAATTGTACATACTTACACAAATTAACTCATGAAAGAAAAATATCTGGATAATACAAGAGGATACAGGCAGGACTGTGAGGATTCTCTGTGATAATAACAAGTTAACTGCAGTTTCTAAGACTATGTCTTTGAACATTTATTATCCATTATTATGCTATTCAAGAAAAGGAGCACCTCCTCACTGTTTACCTTCTTCCCTATTTCTTGTTTTTCCTGTAGTTGTTACCCCTCTTCTATGCCTGGATATGCATGATTTTTTCAGTGGAGAATTTCTGCAAAGCAGACACAACATTTTTATTAGTGAAGTTAACACTATGCTAGAAGAATAGTAAATTCAAGCTATAAATCCACCAGCTTTCAGGAGACTCATTTATTCTGTTCCATATGAAATAAAAATCTACTACAGGGGAAGAGTTGAATATGACCATATACATTTATGAAGGAACATTTTACACTTTACTGCTGTAGGCTACTACTGGCCTTAGGAGCTGATGTTCATTTTATTTGATTCAAAATAAAAGTACAATAAAAAATAAAGCAGACATCCCCCACCACTCAATCGCCCACCCACCCACCCACCCAACAAGGTATCTTGGATCACAAAATGCCAGTCCCCTGTGGTTATTTAAAGAAACCTGGGCAGGTTTCCAAGTTCTGGTGTCTGTGACCTATTACACGGAGGCAACAATAATAGTTCCTCATGAAATAAATCAATGGACATACGTAGAGTACTTCTACCATGCCATGTACTATTTTTTACTTCAATCTTTAAGAAGAAAGTGAAGGTTATGTAACTCAGTTTCACACATTGTCTACATTTATAACAGGGCTTCTCTTCAGGAACATTTTTACTATGAAGATACCCTCCCTCTCTTTTATCTATGATGTTATTTAACACTTATTTAACGCTTTTCAATAATAAATGCAACTTTTAAAAATTCATATACAATACTTTTCTTTGTACAATGCAGTCTGAGACTGATGGTTATTTGTCAGTTGATGAAAAAGCAAAATATCATTGGCTTTTCAGTTATATTCTTCATAAATTCTCTTTCATAATTACTATACATGTTTGGTTTTACATGAAACATTCATTAAAATAAACATTCATTAAATAAACAAAACCAAGAGCTAAGAGTGCCTGTGTTTAGCAAATATCAGGACTCTGCACGTTTCTACAGCAGTAAGAGTTATGTGGTACATCATCTGTCAGAAAGACTTGTGTAGAGAGAACCCTCTGTGGTACAAACAGAAAGCAGGAAACAAAGCAACTATTCAACCTTTTCTATTCACTGCACCCACATCTGTTTACATGGCCTCTGCTCAATCCTGAAAGGTTTTGTCCTCCTACCTCCATTTTATTTTACACAGCTCTGAGCGGCTGGCAGCTTGGAAGACTTTTCTTTCTTTTTTTTTTCCTTAAGAGCTAGGGATTCAAATCTGTTTTGTAAAACAGAAATTTGAAAAACAGGCTTACAGATAGCAGTTGGTCCCTTTTCTAGTCTATCCAGTTGGAGTTCTAATGAGGGATATAAACTCCAACATTCTCATTAATTTTTAAAATAAATTTAACAGACATAAGAAGTTTCTTCAGGAGGGTAGTAGATGGTACTATTTTCCCAGTTCTGCTCATTACTAAATGTCAGTTTGCCCTCTTTTGACAAAAAAAAATTATGTTTTTTAATCTACTCTGCGAGTGAAATTTCTACTCTGTGAGAGAAATGCATGTGCTATCTAGAAGTAAAATATTTCAGAAATATCACTGTAAATATTCTCCATAAAAGATTATATTTCTATGACACTTTATATTTTACAAAGCTATTTTACACAGTTTAGGTAATCAGATCCTCAAAATGAAAAAAAAAAACTAAAAAAGGTAGAGCAGATGACTTTATTCCTAATTTTACAAAAGGAAAACTAAAGCTTTCCTTTAATAGCATGGGATTCCCTCTACACCACGATGAGTGTGTGGTTTTATGACACGAAAACCATATTGCCCTCTATGTGTTGTATACATATGATAATGCTTTATTCTCAATTTTATTCTAAGAATTAGTTATGAGCATGATCATTTCTAATCCTCCTTGCATTTTTAAAGTTCTGTAATTCATGATCAGATACATGATGAATGAGGTATAAAAGAAAAAAGTTCAAAATAATTATGCTCATATGTTTAAAAATTGAAGTCTAAAAAATTTACATCTTTGGTACTTATAAGTATAAGAATACTTATAGAGTATTAAAAATATAAGTATTATCATACTTTATAAGTAAGATAATAAAGGTTAGACATCAAATGTATTTTTCCCTACTTTTCTAAGATATACTGGATTGCCTTGATGTAGTAACTCAGAGACAGAAGAGATCATGAGAAGACATTTTAATAATATAGTTAGAAATCACAAGTATTGGATTCAATGCTGATACTACTGGGTCAGTAGAATCATATCTAACTGGTTAACATTGTCTGGATGTATTAACTCAACTTTGACAAGAAGAAATAATAACAATCCAATGCCACACAATTTTAGTAAGAATTAAATCAACTAGTATCTGTGAAGAGCAAATGGTAAACTGTACAAAACCACCTAATATTAGTGACTGCCATTAGCTTTTGTTCTTTCTATATTATTAAACAATTAATTTCAAATGTACAAATGAAACTGAAATACTTGAAAACTAAATAATAAAATCAGTAATAATAACAAGAGTAGATTGCAGAAGAAATTCTAAAATATGCCACCTGTTGGTTTATGTGAAAGTGAAAGGGTGAATGAGAAAAAAAAAAAAGTCCTTCACTATCCAATAATAGTAGTGCACAAGCTAGAGTCTGTATATAGATGCTCGACTACCGTCTTCCTCATCCCATATTTTGGTAAATAAATCTTTTCTAAATGAAAGAATATTGGCTCATAATTTTTTTAAAAAGGCATAGAGAGGCCAGAACTGGGTAATTTTAGAAATATTAGACATGGTATTTTGGCAAGAAGATTTTAAGGCATCTTTTTTTTTTGAGACGGAGTCTCACTCTGTCGCCCAGGCTGGAGCGCAGTGGCGCGATCTCGGCTCACTGCAAGCTCCGCCTCCTGGGTTCACGCCATTCTCCTGCCTCAGCCTCCCGAGTAACTGGAACTACAGGCGCCCGCCACCACGCCCAGCTAATTTTTTGTTGTTGTTTTTCGTAGAGACGGGGTTTCACAGTATTAGCCAGGATGGTCTCGATCTCCTGACCTCGTGATCCGCCCACTTCGGCCTCCCAAAGTTCTGGGATTACAGGCATGAGCCACCGCACCTGGCCCATTTTAAGGCATCTTTCAATGAGAAACAGCAATGTGATATATTTCTTTATTTCCAATGTTTTAAATTATTTATTAGAACTGACATATAAATAACTAGCAATAAATTAGTATTCAAAATAGCACATTCTGTCCATAAAATCTTGTAAAGTTGAAAATAGAAGACAAATCTTCAGCAGTCAAAAAACTGCTTATACGGCAAACAAAAGATATTTTTAATTCTGCTCATAGCTTGTGTATGTGAAAAAAAGATACGAAACTAAACTATCAACTAAAAATCACATTGTTTTCCATTCAGAAAAAAATTATTTGAGGAAACATCAAATATAACTTTAAAAAAGTTAAAGGCATAGGAATAAGTGACTTTGATGGGGAATTGCATTAGTTGCCAAACTGGAATTCAAAACCGTCTCTAAATTTTTAGAAGTTGAAAGATAAAACAACAACAAAAATAATTGGTATTTCCTGAGCTTAAGGACTAGCTTCAGTAGGACATACGGTTTCATTTTGAGGCCTCTCATTTCTTATGAAAATGTTACTATTTCTGTAGGCATCTTCATTTAAGGGAGTAGGTTTAATAACTAATTAAACCAGAGTTAGTTCAGCTGATTTTGATTTCATCTTATTTTTTGGTATTTACATTTTTCCATAGTAAATTATAGTGTACTTTGAACTTAAAAAGTTCTAAGTAGGGAAAAATAAAGCATTTTAAAACTATATTGTGTGATATACATCTCAAATAGTATGTGTTAAAAAATTAGACATCTGCTTTGATGCATTTTATTGCTGATATAGTCAAGAAGTTGTGGCATCATAGAGTTCAAGTCAGTGTTTGTTCTATTATAAAACCAAACTACTAATTAAAGTAGAACTTCACAATTTGTTAAGGCAAATGGTGGTTGGGAGGTTTTATTTTCATTTAAAAGTCTATACCCAACCTTAACATGATCTCTTAAATTCAGAGCCATCTCATCTCATTTATTAAACACCTATATATCACAAGGCATTATGCTATATTGAATACACAAATAAGTATATGGCATCATATTTTTCTACAATGATCTATTTGGCATGAAGGTTATACACTATTATATACAATAATAATTTTTACAATAGAATATTTAGTGCTATGTCATAGAAGTACATACAAAATACAAGAGGAAATTATTAACTATGTTGTCTCACTACATAGCTTCAAATGGTTAAATTATATTTTAAAAGCAGATCAGAAGAGTTGCTATGGTCCTACTCTAAAGTAGATCTTTCCAAGAGTAATGTGACGTATTGCTTTTTTGTTATCATCATGCACGCATGCGTGCATGCGAGAGTGTGTGTGTGTGTGTGTGTGTGTGTGTGTGTGTGTGTGTATGTTGGCTCAGAAACTACCAGGCGAATGTCTTTTTGTCTTGAATTAAATAAATTGACCCTGTTGTAAAGTCAAAGTGAGCACCCCACACTCCCCCTTTCCACTTCCCAACCAAACTTACTAGGAATTATATTCTCCAAAATAAGAAAACTCTTTCCTATTATATCCCCTGGGGTTAATTCAATGAAAAATTTAGGGATTTGCTAAACCTTCCTTTCCTAAAGACATCTGAGTTCCAAACTTGTTTCAGCTGGACTTTGAGGTTAAAAAAATATATAGTATTCCTTTCCCTTTAGAACAATGATTTTCCCAGAATAGAAAAGTAGAGCAGAAACAGTGCTGTATAAAACCTTGGTGAAATGTACTTGAAGTTGAGAAAGGCAAAGATAAAGGAAATGACAAAAATATTTATAGTGATTCCCATTATCTCCAGAGTCTTATTTTCTCTGTATTTCTGAGACGTAGTAAATAAGGTCAAATCCTTTGAATAGGCTATTTGTTCAAATGAGGCCACACTAGAGCAAGCATTCTTGAGTAGTAACTGGGATAAAGGTGTTGTGTTTAATTTGTCTCTTAAACTATGTTTGTCTTTGACTGAATGAAAGTGGTTTTGAATCTTTGTCTGTATTGAAGAGAAAAAATCAAAATCTATCTAAATGCTTTTAGTGAATTAAATGCTAATACAGCCTTGACAAGATGGACTGTAGACTTTCATTAGTTGAAGGAAGCCACTCATCTTCTATTTTATAACCTAATAACAAGAAGACACAAATGAAAAAGAAGACGAATTTTTGCATATTCACATATGTGAGTGGTTTTGCTTGAATTTTTAAATAAAGTTTTCAAAAAGCAGTTCTGCACTGTTGACAGTTCTGTAACTTATTCTTATTTTTCTATTTGCAAATTACTCAGTTGTCATGTAGTTTTAGCAGAAAATGACAAAACATGGAACCTTCCTATGAAAATAACGATCCTCAGCTGACTCATAAACAAGCTTTGTGTTAATGTACCTTCCCTTTTGTGCCTCTGTCTCATTAAGGCATCTTTAGTTGGACACAATCGGTCTCCAATTAAAAAGCTCAAGTCTGATGCCAATGTAGTTGTTTGGGTCTGTTCTCTGCAAACAACATATGCTATAGCTACATGGATTTCTATTTACCTTTGCAGCATTTGTTTCTTTTGATCCTGAGATCTCCAGAAAAAGAAAGGAATGTTTGATCCTGAGATCTTCAGAAAAAGAAAGGAATGTTCTGGGATTTTATGGTAGAATGACATTTGCTTCTTTGGGTTGGCAACCATCACTAATTCCAGGCTTGTTTCCTCTGGGTTATTTCTTACTAATTAGCTGCTTTTGTGCAACTTTTTTTTTCTACATATGGCACTACATTTCTTTGAAGAGTGAAATGCATACTCATACAAATGGTTGTGAATCAACGTTCATTCAACTTGCCTATCAAGAGCATGGAAGTTTAAAAAAAAATAGAGCTATTTGGATAAACCCTGAAGCGTTTATAAATGGTAATCATCTTTTACCTAGGTTTATTGGGGATTATGCTTTTGTGTTGTAAAAGTTATCAAATACAAAAATGGGTTTAGAAGGTTTACTTAATGATAAACTGGCAAGCCACAAACTGCTGCAAGGAATGGAGGCTCAGATGAAAAGAGGTTATTGAAAGGAAATGGGAATGACAGGGCATGTGGATTTCCTTAAGGAGCAGAAAAGTTATAGTCAATAACAATTACATTTAGATGGAATGAGTAAGAGCAATTTAGTCAGGAAAAGGTCCAAAATTATAGACATTTTTTTTTTCCTAAGAAGGAAGTGTGAGGCTAGGCAGTGAAAACTTGCAAAGAAATAATGGTTTTGTTCCAAAGGACAAGAGAACTATTAGAGTGATTTTTACAGAAGATGGCTCTGGTCTAAAAACAAAAGGAAACATCATGATCCCAGTAAGAGAGGATGATGCACTATTACCAGGTGAAAAAGAAAATTGAACAACTTGATAGATATGTGATTAGAACAGTAGTGACAATAATAGTCATCCTCCCTGTGAATCCTTACCTGAACTGTCATGAAAGCTTGATGCTTCCTCGGAACCTCATGATCCCATAGAACGCTAAAGAAGTCTCATAAAAACTTCTGTTATTACGTGTTACTGTATTGTTTTGCCTATTGGTATTATTTTTCATCTTTCTCAGGAGACTAGCACAGAACACAATACATAATAGCTTCTCAAAATTTTTTCTGAAATTAGAAAAATCGGGTTCATCTGTATTGTTTGTTATAGTACACATTCCTATATATGAGTTTTATTTCTATATCTTTTCTCTTACAGAAGTTCATTGGAAAATACAAAATAATCCAGTTACAATTTGCATAAGTAACCTAGAGAACTGGGGAGAAGCAAAGGACATGATCTTGGGGTTTCAGTTTTCCTCCCTAAGAAGGAGCAATAAGGTACTTCTAGCTTTGAATACTGAACTTATTGTTGGGAACCCATGAAGGATAAGGTTAGAAATTTATAAAGGAACTAAGAGATTGGGCCAGAGTGGAGGCACTGTAGCTCACAAACTTAAAATTGATTCCTACTACTAATGGTTCAGAGTTGAGAGAACTTAATGAACAGAGACCAAGTAGATGCAATGTAACCAAGCTATCTACATGACTGAATGTCCTTGACACATGTGAGTGGGACGAGGAATCTGATGGATGTGTTTTGCTACCACGTAATCAAAAGGATTAGTTTATCTAGACCTCTGCCACTCAGTAGGGCTTTCGGGTTAATTTAATTAAATTGATAAATTATATTCAACAGCTTAATTGTGGCCTATTCATATGTATACAACCCATAATCATTATTATGGCTGTTTTCTTAGATAGAAGCATGAGCTAAATTTAAGTAATTACAAGTCAACAAATAAGGAAAAATATACGTGCACTATGTTTGAACTGACATGTTGATTTTGATAATTGGATGTGTAGGTGCACAATGGGAATTTTGGCTTGGCACATGCTCATAAAACAACAAAGAATCGTTTTATATTATTCTTTTTCTGTCATAAGTGCTGATGTTGCTGCCCTGGGATGCCCAGGTTTAAAAATGTTATTGAAAATTTCTTAAACCAAACTAGTTGATAATTTGATCAGTAGTATTTGTCTTTCAAATGCCAAACTCGACAGTAATATATTCCACATGAAATAAATATGGAGAGTTATATGTGAAAACACAAATACATTTAGAGATAATTTGGGTCACTCCAGGATCTTCACCCTCTCCTTTTGGCTCCTTGCCATGTCTTTTCTCATATCCCACGGGTCCAAGGATAGCCGCAATCAGCCTGTGAGTCCTTTCTACCCTTAGCCAACATTAGAAGTCAAGATGAGAAAGTGCACTTTTATTAGATTTGCCAGAAAGTTTTCATTTAGAATACATAAACTCCCTCATTTAGAATCTATGCACCTTAACCCTCAATTTTCTAGGAAAACAGTCATAACCATTTACCATCTGGGCCTAGGGAATGCTTTAATTTTTAAAATACTTTAAGTCTTTTTACAAGTAATCTGCAAAACTTTTAAATAAAAAATTTAATTTAATTTTTATTACAATATTCATCAGAATTCAATTATAGCAAAATTGTGTGTGTCAAGTAAATTTTGGCACGAAACATCGTAAAATATAAAATACTATAGTCATACATTTTTGTAAAATGGGGTGGTCTAGATTCCTCTCAAAATTTGTATATTATGAACTCCTTTTTCCTGTTGATTGACTAACTGGATGAGCAAACCATATTATCTTTTGCCTCAGAAATATATTGCTTAGTCATCAATTTTGAGTTTAAGAAAATTCTTGTAAAGTACCATCAATCTGAAAACCCAGCCTAAGACTTTTGCTTCTGTGATCAATTTTATTACCATGTAATCCACAGTGCTATTCTGTGTTTCTTTGTGTTCATCTTCCAATTTATCTGATTATTGTGAATTGTCTTCCTGTGTACTTGGCTAAAATAGGCAGAAAACAACACTTCAGAATTTTTATTGTGTTTAGTGAAGGCTAAAGCAGACTACACAATATTGACAAATTTATTTTATACCTTTTTAAAAGATAACACAATACTTTGGGCAAAATATTAATAAGCCAAAAGATAACAATTTATTTCACTTTATTAATCATCCTTGAGTTGATTTCATCATTTTTTTAAAATTCTTATCATCTTAGGTTTTTCAGCACAGCTGAACATAATTGCTGAAATAATTGATGAGTAATGAAGAGTATAGATAAAATAATTCTTAGGTTTATGAAATAACAAAATGTTTAAAGGAATATAAAAACATAGGTTATTAATATGTTAAAATATATCTTTTTTAAAAATAAAAGCATTGACAAATCCATATAGTAATTAAAAACATAATAAGCTTTATTCTGCTAACTTTTTTCCCTTTGAACTCAGGAAATCTTTAAGCATAAATAAGAGTCAAAAAATATCAATCTTTATAAAATGCTCAAAAAATAAAGTTTAAAAATGGAAATTGAGTCCAATGATTCCTTATGTACATTCAGAGTTAAAGGAATGAAACTAAGAGGTCACAGAGACATATGTATCAGGAGTTGGAGGCAAGATAGCCAACTAGATGCAGCTAGGAGGAACATCTAATGGTTCAGAGGGTCATGGGACCACCAAGGGAGCAGGACACCAAGAAGACTGGTGCACTCTAAACAGACCTTAAGAAGGAAGGCATTGAGAGTGAACAGAGGAAGGTCACAAATGCTGGGCTGAAGGGTGAGAAAGCTGGGCCCTGCATAGGGTTATACACATGGGGACTTGTTCCTGGCCCCCAGTGACTCCTGGGGAAGGGATGAGTTGAGGAGGCAAGGAGCAACCTGTTCTCACCACAGGCTTCTGAAATCCTAGAATCATTAAACCCCACGGCCCCCACAGATGCTCAAGAGCTGGCAGGGATAGCTGCTTTGAGAGGTGGTAGTGGTAGGACTCCAGCCTGTGTGAAGCCCAGAGGGTTTGGTGTGGAAATGTCTGCAGGAGAGCATGGCCAAGGATGCCCATCCTCCAAGGCTGGCCGGAAGTGTCAGACCTGAACAGAGAAGGGCAATCTTGGATCTTGCTAGTGAAATCGGGCCAGTCCAACCTGAGTGCCTTTTTGTCTGCTAGCCTCTCCTGGGGCCCCAGCCTGGCCATGACTGCTTGTAGTGCAGCCTCAGATGCCCAGTCAGGGTGCCCCTGGTGAGCCTGCATCATAGCTGCTACATTGGCAGATGGTGCCTTACTATCAGAGAGCTCCAGCACAGTGGACCCCACTGACAGGCACCAGCCCACCTAGATCTTCCCTCCACCCACCACTTCCTCCTCCATGTCACTTTGTTGGCATATGCTTGCCCATGACCACTCTCACCCATCGCTTTGCTGGCTTGCATATACATAGGCAGAACTTGTCTCCTCCCCTGCCAGTGTGTGGGTGCCACTGCTACACAGTCATTGCTGACACAAACACATGCATGAACAACAGCAGCATTGCCCCCCTGCTCTGTGCTGCCACTGCCACTGCCATGAACATCCACAGGGATACAAGTAGCCATACTACCTGTCCTGCACCACCACCACCACTGGCACAAACATGAACAAATTGCCAGCACTGTGCCCAGCAGTGCCCATTCCTGCACCAACACTGCTGTGGGGGTGAATGTATACATGGACATCAGTGGCCCTGCCTGCCCCCCAACCATACCATCACTGCCACCACTGCAAGTGCCTGCTTGAAAGCCAGTAGCTCAGGCCTGCTAGTGTCCTGCGCCAGCTGGGGAGCATGCACCCCCATGCTGCTGCTGCTGCTGGCACAAGCCAATGAGCATAGATCCTGCTGCCACTGCCCAATAAAGCAGTTTGACTGGCACCACCCTTTGAAATGCTGTGGCCAGAGGTCCAGGAACACCTTGGCCCCTCCAGTCCAGTAGGTTTCCAAACTTGAGGGGCCAGAGAATAAAGCCGGGGGCCCCATACCAGCCCCCCAGAGTTAAAACACACAGCCCAGGGAGGCTATGCTGAGCCTTGGCCCTCCAAAAATCTACTAGAAGTGAAGCTAGTTGACTGAACCCACGCTACATCATAATCAAACCTCCAAGGACATCAATGAAAATAAAAGAAAGAAAAGAATTTTCAACCAATAATTTCATATCCAGCCCAACTAAGTGAAGGAAAAATAAGATTCTTCTCAGACAAGCAAATTCTAATGGATATTGTTAACACCCAACCTGCCTTACAAGAGATCCTGAAAGGAGTGCTAAACATGGAAAAGAAAGACCATTACTGGCCACTAGAAAAACACACTTAAGCACACAGACCAGTGACATTATAAAGCAATCACACAAACAAGTCTGCATATAACCTGCTAACGACATGATGACAGGAACAAATCCACATATATCAATACTAACTTGAGACTAAACAGGCAAAATGCCTTAATTAAAAGGCACAGAGTGGCAAATTGGATAAAGAAGCAACACCCAACAGCATACTTTCTTCAAAAGACCCATCTTACATGCAATGACACCCATAAGTAAAGGGATGAAGAATAATGTACCAAGCAAATGGAAAACAGAAAAAAGCAGAGGCTGCTGTGATGGTTAATATTAAGTGTCAACTTGATTGTATTGAAGGATGCAAAGTATTGTTTCTGGGTGCGTCTGTGAGGATGTTGCCAGAAGAGATTAACATTTAAGTCAGTGGACTGGGAGAGGAAGATCCATCCTCAGTGTGGGTGGGCACCATCTAATCAGTTGCCAGCACAACTAGAAAAAGCAGGTGGAAGAAGGTGGGAATAAGCTAGTTTGCTGGGTCTTCCAGTTTTCATCTTTCTCCCATGCTGGATACTTCCTGCCCTTGAACATCAGGCTCCAGGTTCTTCAGCCTTTGGACCCTTGGACTTACAGCAGTGGTTTGCCATGGGCTTTCGTGCCTTCAGCCACAGACTGAAGGCTGCACTGACACCTTCCCTACTTTTGAAGCTTTGGGACTCAGACTGAGCCACTACTGGCTTCCTTGCTCCTCAGCTTGCAGACAGCCTATTGTGGGACTTCACCTTGTGATTGTGTGAGTCCATTCTCCTTAATAAACTGCCTTTCACATATACATATATCCTACTAGTTATGTCACTCTGGAGAACCCTGACTAATACACTGCTATTCTAATTTCAGACAAAACAGACATTAAACCAACAAAGATAAAAAAGACAAAGAAGGATATTACATAATGGTAAAGGACTCGATTTAACAAGAACTAACTAACTAACTAACTATATATATATATATATATATATATATATATATATATATATATATATCTCCAAAACAAGAGCACCCAGATTCATAAAGCAAGGCCTTAGAAACATAGGAAGAGACTTACATAACCACACAATAATAGTGGGAGACTTCATTTAACACCCCACTGAAAGTACTAGATCATTGAGGCAGAAAATTAACAAAGATATTAAGGACCTGAACTCAGAACTGGATCAAATGGACCTGATAGGTCTCTACAGAACTTTTCACCCCAAAACGACAGAATATACATTCTTCTCATTACCACATGGCACATATGCTAAAATTGACCAAATAATTGGACATAAAATAATCGTCAGCAAATGCAAAAGAACCGATGTTATAAGAACCACTCTTTTGGAACATCACACAATAAAATTAGAAATTAAGCCTAAGAAAATTGATCAAAACCATAAGATTTCATGAAAATTAAATTAACCTGCATATGAATGACTTTCTCCCCCCTCTGAGACAGAATCTCCCTCTGTCACCCAGGTTGGAATGCAGTGGCACGATCTCGGCTCACTGCAACCTCCACCTCCAGATTCAAGCAATTCTCCTGCCTCAGCCTCCCAAGTAGCTGTGATGACAGGTATGTACCACTGTGCCCAGCTAATTTTTATAGTTTTAGCAGAGACAGGGTTTCACTATGTTGTCCAGGCTGGTCTCGAACTACTGGACTCAAGTGATCCACCTGCCTCAGCCTCCCAAAGTGCTGGGATTACAGGAGTGGGCCACCTCTCCCCACCTCCTGCATGACTTTTGGGTAAATAATAAAATTAAAGTCGAAATAAAGAAGTTCTTTGCAACTAATGAGGACAGAGATACAACATGCTAGAATCTCTGGGACACAGCTAAGGCAATGCTAAGAGTGAAATTTACGGCATGAAATGCCCACTTCAAAAAGTTAGAAAGATCTCAATTTAACAATCTGAGTGATCTGAGTGATATCAAAAATTCCTTGCCCAAAGTCTTTCCTTACCCCACATTTATTGTGATATTATCTGGTATTTCACCATTATCAAGCAGTTTAATTCTTTAGTTATAAAAATATCTAGAATTCAGATATTTAAAGAGAGATAATTCAATCATGTATTAGTTCGATTTTGTTTTGTTTGGTTCAGATTGTATGTTCCAAAAAAGAAGCTGAAATTTATACTTTAAGTAAATGGATGTTTTCGTTGGCTGGCAAGCAGAAACATGCCATTTTGAAGGATGGAGCAATGCCATCTGGAGTGTGATTCTGTGTCCAGAGAGAGGACAGATGAGAGTACTTTGTCCCAGAGAGAATAGGTGTTGGGAAAATGAGTGTTGCTCAAGAAGGAAGGCAGAGTCACTCACAGCAAACATTACATTTTTTGTTGCCTCAGAGATTTGGTTTCTCAATGTCTGATACGCCTGACTTACAAAGAATTCTCTGAATTTTGTGTGTATATATCACAGAGAGGATTCTGAACCCACATCCGCTATATCTTCTTCAGTTGTAACATAAACCTCCATCTCTTTAACAAAATCCAGGGGAACAGAATATTAATGCTTACTTTGTTTCCTTTCAATATTCAAAAACAAGAAAAGGAGGAAGGCAAACGGGAGGAAAAAGAGAAGGAAGAGAAAGAGAAGGAGAGGGAGAGGAAAAAGAAAAAAAGGAGGAAGAGGAGGAGGGAAGGAAGAAGACTGAAAAAATATATTTGAAACAAATTTCAGATAACTTCAATGAGAAAATACAGATGTCATTTTGCACTGTCAGTCAGATATAAATACTGAAATTGTTGCCAGAATCCTGTGGAAATCATAGAGGGCTTGCTTGACAGATTGGGGATGAAGCCAACAGTAGGACTCTGTTTTCAGGTTTAGTTCACATGATATATTCATCTTGAACAGCAGGGGGTAAATTTTCTAAATAGGTCACTGGGGATCCACACAAATCCCATTAACGGGTAATAGGATTTGTATGCACAAATTCTCTTGCCCTGAAAACTTAGATTTTGGTGTTTAATTTTCCATATGACCTGCATACTCATTAGTGTACATTAGAAGAAGTTTCTCTGGCAAATTTCACATAGTTTTCATTTCCTTTTGTTTATTCCTGTCTAAAAAGACATTTTCCAAAGGTTAATCTTTGAAAATGTCTTTAGTAGCTGAAAACATCTAACAGGGGATTATATAGAAGAGAAAATTGTTGAAATACAGTTATTCATGTTTTTAGCAGCTTATTGGGAAAAACTCTAAGAGAAAGAAAGAAACATAGATTTTAAAATATCTTTAAACTATCAGAACAAGCAATATTATCCTAATATATTTTTAAATACTCTAATATTTATTTTTTAATACAATCAAGTTAGCACAATTTATTTGCCTACAGTGGGTATCCAAGATAATGTTACCAATTTGGATTTTCATGGGAAAATAAAAGTATGTCTTTGGGTCCAAAGGCCAATTGAAGATCATGAGCTTTTCAAGAGATGATGGCCAAGAAAAGGAGCATCAGGTTCTCAGCCAGGCTCTATTTTAGATGAAAAATATAAGATCCTCAATCAAAATTTTGAAGAATAAACTTGGCAGGCTTCTGTGAGTGTTGTTTTGAATTTTCAGGTTCAGTTGAATCCAAAATCAAAGTAAAATGTAATGGGTTTATCCCTTGAGCATGGACCTGTAGAAGGAGTTGGGGGGATTATGTGTGCCTTAGGCTTCTTCACCTTAGTTTCACACAGTTCCATCTGACATCATCATAAATTCTTTAAAATTTATGGTAAATTGTGCTTTTTAGTACTAGTACTACTAAATAAAATACAATGTAACTTTTTTAAACAAACATAAGGGGATAATAATAAGGGTAGAGACACTACAGGATACACATCTGGTTGGAATTTACTGATTCCATTTCAGCTGCCATTTACTGATTCCTATAACTTGTCAAATGATCTCAAATACATCTTTCTCATTTAGTACTCATAGTAAACTGAGAAAATAGATATTATCTACGTTTTGGCAAAAAAAGATGTTTGGAAAAGTTACTTAGCCTTCCCAAGCTTACAAGGTTAGTTGGTGCCTGGCTAGAGTAACCTGCTTCTGCCTAGTTCCAAAGATACCTCTAGATTCATCCAAGAGTGCAATTTAGGCTGGATGCAGTGGCTCACACCTGTAATCCCAGCACTTTGGGAGGCCAGGGAGGGCAGATCACAAGGTCAGGAGTTCGAGAACAGACTGACCAATATGGTGAAACCCCATCTCTACTAAAAATACAAAAATTAGCCGGGCATGGTGGCACATGCCTGTAATCCTGGCTACTCAGGAGGCTGAGGCAGGAAAATCGCTTAAACCCGGGAGGTGGAGGTTGCAGTGAGCTGAGATCGCATCACTGCACTCCAGCCTGGGCAACAGAGCAAGACTGTGTCTCACACACACACACACACACACAAAAAAGGGTGCAATTTAGTCACTCTTAACCCATCCGAATATGTATCATGCCAAGTGGTATAATTGCTAATGTGACAGCGAGTTGTAAGTCTCTTTTGTTTTGTTTTGTTTTAGTGGCTACATATTTGAATAATCGTAAACTGGATTTAAATTACAGATTAGTTCAGTTGTAAGAGATTGTACATGGAGACAATATAAAGTTTTTTTTATTGTTTACCTTAAAATGGACTATGTATTTTCTCCACTATTTTTTCAAGTGAATATTTTTTAAACCAAAGCTGAAGAAAGGGAATCTGTAGACTGATTAGGGAAGTGTCTATGTTAATGTAGAGAGAATAGAGAGACAGATAAATAAAGCAACCAAGAGGAAGGTAGCCTGAAGGGTTTGTTGCTGCCCTCACTCCCATGGCTCCAAAAGAGATGACTGATTCTGGAGGCTCAGTGTACCAGTTAATTATTGCTATGATAATCCTGCATAACATACACCCCACAAGTTATCAATAGAACACAAAATAAAAATTTTTTAACTCATGCATCTGTGGGATATCTTGGGGATGGTTAACCTAGGCTGACACAGCTCTTCTCCATGTCAGTCATCCCCCTTGGACAAGCTGGATATCCAAGGCAAGTTCCTCTCAAGGCTATGGCAGAGGATTAGGAAAGCAACTTGAAAGTTGCAAAGCCTTCTGAGGCATAGACCCAGAGTTGGCACACCATCATTTCTGCCATATTCCATTTGCCAAAGTAAGCCACATGGCCAAACCCAAAGTCAGTGGAAACAAAATATACTATATTCAGATTCTAGAAGAAGGAACTACAGAATCATATAGTAAAGAGAAGGCATACCACAACAGGTGAAGCACTGGAGTCAGTAATGCAATATGCTACAGCCAGCATAATCTCCAACTGGAGAAAAAAGACTAAAAAAATTGTCTGAAGCTAGGCCAGAAAGTTGAATAATTTATTAGCTGAGTGAGTATAGCCTGTGGGGTCTTATAAAACTCAATTGCCAGTGGGTTGAGGAATCTTTAGGCAATTGCATTCATACAGAGTTTGTAAGACTTAAAGAGATTACAGGCATGCACCACCACGCCTGGCTAATTTTGTATTTTTAGTAGAGATGGGGTTTCTCTATGTGGGCCAGGCTGGTATCGAACTCCTGATCTCAGGTGATCTGCCCACCTTGGCATCCCAAAGTGCTGGGATTATAGGCGTGAACCACTGTGCCCGGCCTGATCATGCCAATTTACTGGTGAACCCACGTAGTTCAGGTCACTTTGCTTATTTTAGAAATGTTCAAAACCTAAGTTCTGCATTTCCTCTTCATTTTTCATTTTTCTCTTTTCTGAAACCTCCTCACTCCTCCATACCTCTTTTCATGCCTCTCACTGATTCCAACATCTATCTAATATAATTTGTGCTCACCTTCCATGTTATTGCCTGGGACCCAAATCTAGCTATCTTCTCCCTCTACTTGAGAGACAGATAATAAGAGCTGGAGGGAAGTCAGATGGTGACATTGAACGTAATCCATGCTTTCATTTGTGTAAGGCTTTGGGATCTTTGGATATATTTGGTAATGAGGCTTCCCAAAGAATTTACTATTTGCAGAAACAGAAAATAATTGGCTCAAAGTTCCTCCTGGCCTAGGAAGAAATAAACGAACAAACAACCTCTGGTACTAGGTATGTGTGTGGTGTTGAGGGTGGTGTGGTGGCTATTCTTCAAACCACAAACTATAGAATGAAAGTGGGTGTTCTTGTTTGACTGCTTTTCTGCATCCTATATGGCAAACCTATGCAAATGTCGCATAACCACCTATACACCATGGTCCTAGTCAGTGTCTCCCTCTCAGAAATAAGCCAGAAGGAGGCTGACTAGGTGTCTCTGTATTATGCAATATTCATGTCTCCTCTTATTTTTTTTAGATACAAGTGGCCATGAGATTTCTATGTTGTGCTATTTTGTTTGGCTTTAAAGGGTGTGGACATGAGCTCTTTGAAAACACTGGTGCTGTTGTGAGAATCGGAGTGCTTTCTAAGATACATACATCAATCTGCGTCTTAAGCTACCACAGATCTAGTGTGCCAGAACTGGTTCTCAGTATCAATTACTTTCATATGTGATGTTAGAACTCTGAAAAATGTGTGATTTTTACATTGTCATAGAAAAAAATAGTGGCCCATGTTTCATAATCTTGCAGGTGTTTTCTGTGCTTCTAAGACTTCTATTTCATTCTTGATGGATATAATTTGAGTTCCCCTGGGAAGTTTCTGGGAGGAATTACTTCCTTATCTCCCCATACGTTATTTTTATAGAGGACCCTTAGGTATGTATCTATTTGTGCCTAGGGTAAATAAGTATCTCTGAATAATAGGTCATTACATAGTTTGCTTCAGGAATAATAATGTTTTAAAGTTTCAGTTATTACAAGATTTTAGGAAAATCCATGGAAACAAATTCAGTAAATGTTATAAGAATAAATTTGCTAAAATTAAAATATTTTTATTAATATAGTATTCTACATTTTCTTCGCAAGTGTTTTGTGTGACCTTTCTTTAAAAAATGCACTTTACCATAGAACAATTTAATAGAAATTGTCATAAAATAACAATTCATACCTTCAATAAAGGTATTAATATTACCTTTATTGAAGGTAACCACTATTAATAATAATCTAATTAATAATTAATTTAATTAATAATGAATAAAACTATTAATAATAATTTTGTGGATGCATAAAAAACTAAATTACTTTTCTATGCCTTCTAATAAAAATAATGGCAATCATTTGACCACACTTGATATGTGACAGGCATATTAAGTCATCTTGCATTATTTCCTTGACTTCTTGAAACATGTTGGATGTAGATATTTATTATTATTTATACAGTGCAGATGTGTAACTCCTATTTGGAAAGTTTGAGCGGCTTTCTAAAGTCATATAGGTAATGAAAGAAAGAGTCAGGTTTCAAAACCAGAGTCATCTAACGTCATAGACCATTTTCTTAATCATTATACTGGACATGAAACTTCAGCGTAATATGAGTGCAGATTTTACTCTTTTAAAGTGTTTTTTTTTCTATTCTAAAATAAGAAATAGAAAAGTGGGTTGGTACTAAGGGTAGCCTTCACAAAGTACAGGATAAATAGAACAACATCGTAAATAATAATGGGTGGAGAAAAAGTTTTCTTATTTCCAACTCTTTGACCACTTTCCTATGTGTTCCAGACTTATAAATGGTGAAGAAGGCAGCATCAACAGTTGGACAAAAGGAACTATGTTGCCAGGATAATGTCATCTCATCAATGTCATGGAAATCTATTGCTCATAAAGCATTAGTACTCAGAAAGAATAGCCACACCAAGAGCAAGCTGTCTGATTGGCCAGGGAATTATAATAGCTTTTAATGGGATTAAGAACTCTACCTAAAACAAAAACAAAACAAAAAAAACACATTATACCAGAGCCAAGGCTGAGCTGTCAGCTTGTGGAGATGGAGCCAACAGTGGAACTATTCATTTGACAATGCACATGACAAGATTCAGCTCAGACCATAGGGGGCACATTTTCAAATGAGGCCTCATTGATCCTATTCTGTAGTAATGGGATTTGTGAGCATCAAGTCTTGTGCATGAAAAATCTACATTTAGGTGACCAATTTTCCATGTGACAGAGCAATTTATTAAATCAGAAACTGAGCAAAATGGTATAACTGTTCTGGCAACTTTTAGTTCCGTTTTCTCTCATATCTCTGCTTTGTCAAAAAATGATACAGTCATTGAATGATAAACTAAGTGGAATGGTGAACTTACAGTGTATAAATAATGTAATGATACAAAGGGAAATTTAAAACTTATAAGACGTTTATGTTTGGTGAAATTCATCTGATTAAAAATAATAATGTAAGTGAAAGAAGTTAGCACAGTTCCTGAAACCTAAGACAGACTTCTTAAATGTTTCTTGAATTTGATAGAACAAGCTCATTTTAAAGAGACTTGGTTTTAATTATTAATCTGCTGCTATCACACTGCTATCACAATGCTCTCTGGGTAAAATTGTATAATTTTGTTTTTCCTAGTGATGCTGAAACCATGTTATAAAATATGCATGTTGTCGTTATTTATTTTGTCTTAGAATTAGTGGCTAAAGACATCTTAATTTTATAACCATGGACTTCTTTATTTCCTTTCCTCCTTTTCTGAATTTGAAGCAAGAGTTTTATTCAGAAGCATGTGTTCTATGATGCCATTTTGCTCACATTAAGTTGAATTTTTGCCAGGTGTTATGTTAGATGCAATCACCGCTGGGGATTCTGTGGGTGTTACTGAAAATTACTTGGACAGAAAAACAATATGTTGGCTTAATACAGGCTGAGAAAGTGGTGATGCAGGGGCACGAGGGAGTACTTCGCAACATGTAGCAGTGGCTGGAATTCTTTCTGCACCATTTCCAACCAAAACATCTCTACTCAGAGCTTTGTCACTTTACTGACAATACTCAGGTCAAAACTTTGTAGATTAATATCTTAGTGTAGATTTGTTCTCCTAACATAGCACCTACATAACTGAGTAATTTTTAACACTGTTTAAAAAGTGGAGGTTCTCCATTAAAAAAAGAAAATAAATTTTAAAAATTAAAAAAATTATCGAGAAATACAAAATATTGATAAAAAATTAAAAAGAAATAGACGAGTTTTAGCCAATCATGAAAATAGAAGTTTTCTTTCCTATAAATAGAATAGTTTTAGCCAATCATGAAAATAGAAGTTTTCTTTCCTATTCGCTAAGCTATTTTCTTTTATTCCCCTACCACTTGTTCTATGTCTCCCACTTTTCTCTACATGGCACATAAAGGGACCATCTGTTCTTCAGCTGCCCCATCCACATCAATGACTTTCAAATTCTTTCCTTTAGTCATTCTCTCTTACCCTCAGTTCTGGTTCCTTAATCCAATCAGTCAAATAGTATTTCCCACTTAGGTTATTTATTTACGTTTTTTTTTTCTATTTTTGTATAATTTTTAAATTTCAAAGACAAACATATATTCCTCTTATAAGAAGAAGTAAACAACCATCCCAATTAGCCTGAAACTGTCTGGTTTTACTAATGAGTCTCAAGCCCCAAGGAACCCAACAATCCCAGGCAAATCAGGGCAGCGGCTCATCCTAGGAAGATAATGATAGTTCTAACTATTCTGGCAGCCAAGGCAAAGATGAAAAATTGCTGTTTATCATAACTCATTATTATGAGAAATAAAATATACCGGTTCTCCTGTGGAACTTGGGGTGTGAGGGGTGTGTGTGTGTGTGTGCACGCGCATGTGTGTGCGTGTTTGCCAACTTCTAAATTTGAAAAAAAAAGTTAGTCGGGGTAAGCATTATTCAAGAGGCACTAAGTAATAAGTAATATGCAGAATTCTTTCTATTTCTCAAAACAACAACAACAACAGAAATAGGACCTAAAGGGCTAGTTCTTACATTGATCTGTGGAAACAGAAAGACCTAAACCTGGTAAGACAGAGGATAGGTGAAAGTAATTAAGTAAAAGTAATTTTGTGGTCATCTAAAGAGCTGATAAAACTTTCTAGACAGTTGTATGTCTAAAATAATTGAATAAATAGGTAATATGTCTCTTTAAGATATCATCCTATAACAATGATTCCTTTCTGCTAGGTATTTAATAGGACCTGGATAGCAGAGGAGAGATTGATCATTTGATCAAGGGTCTTATTAAAAGCCTTACTGCTTGGTACAGGTAGAGTATCCCTAATCTGAAAATCAGAAATCCAACATATCCCAAAATCTGAAACTTTTTGAGTGCCAAAATGACTTCACAAGTGGAAAATTCTACACCTAACCTCATGTGACAGATCACAGTCCAAATTCAGGCACAAAACACACATTTAATTCAGCATCCCCAAGAAAAAAAAAGATCCTCTCAGCCCCCTTCAGCTGTCATATATCTTTTCCATGCATGCCCAGTTTTCCCCATAGAAGCACACCCACAAAGGGTAATAAAATGACATTTGTGTAGGCCAGATGCCCCAATGGCAGGTTCCCCATGACACCTCACATGGGGCCAAGACCTACATGCATTACTCACTGTTTTTTGTTTGTTTTTGTTTTCGGATTACTTTCATCTCTATATTGTAAAGATATTGCTGAAAACATTAAAAAGTTTTGCAGATACCCCTGTTGATAACAGTGATATAAAAAAGGAAGTATTCATGTTTATTTATAGTACAGAAAGTCAAGCTGCTGGAAAAACACTGGACAGCAGTGTAAGTGTGAAACATCTTATAGAACAGTATGGTGTTGGAATGTCCACCATATATGACCCAAAGAAACCAAAGGATAAACTATTGATGTTCTATGTTAAAAGTGATGAACAGAAGTTAATGAAAAATAGAAAAGCACTGCAGAAAAATAAAAATGAACATCTCAATCATGTATTAAAAGAGTGGATCCATCAGCAAAACGGTGAACATATGACATGATGGTATGCTGATCATGAAAAGAGCAAGGATCTATCACAATCAACTGAAAATTGAAGGGAAGTATGAACATTCAACAGGCTGGTTGCAGATATTTAAGAAAAGACGCAGCATTATATTTTTAAAGATTTGTGACAATAAAACATCTGTTGATCACAAAGCCACTGATAAATTCTGACAAGTTTGCCAAGGTTGCGCTGATGAAAATCTGATGCCAGAACAAGGCTATTTGGCTGATAAAATATTGCTGTCTTGGGATTATTGTTCCAGAAAGACACGGACTATAGTTGATAAAAGAGCCCGTAAAGTAATTAAAAATGGCAGCAGCCAAATAACTGTGCTAGAATATGTTAATGGCTCACCCATGTATTAGTATTACTGTAAATTTGCTGTAATAGGAAAAAGTTTTAATTCTCATTGTTTTCAAGGAGTAAATATTTTACCAGTCCATTGTTATGCTAGCAAAAAGGCATGACTCACCAGGGACATCTTTCTAAATGGTTTCATGAACATTTTTACCAGTGGCTCATGCTTATGCAGAAAAGCTGGACTGGATGATAACTGAAAGAGTTTGTTATTCCTTAGCAGCTGTTCTGCTCATCCTACAACTGAAATTCTCATAAAAAATAATGGTTATGCCACGTACTTTCTCCCAAATGTGACTTCATAATTCATCCATGTGACTAGGGTGTCCTTAGATCAATGAAGAGCAAATATAAAAACACTTTCTTGAACAGCAGGCTAGCATCAGTGAACAGGGTGAGCGTGTGGAAGGTTTTCAAAAGGAGTTTAGCAAGAAAGATGCCATCTATGCTGTTGCCAATACTTGGAACAGAGTGAATAAAGACAGTTGTGCATGCCTGGCACAATCTCTGGCTTGTGACTATGTTCAGTGATAACGATAAACAAGGTCATGACTTTGAAGGATTTTGTATGGTAAGTGAGAAAAAAAAATGATGTCTGACCTCCTTATATGTATAAAAAATACACCTGTAGAGCATGCTTGTGCAATCTGCAGCCCACAGGCCCAGGATGGCTTTGAATGCAGCCCAACACAAATTTATAAACTTTCTTAAAACATTATGAGTTTTTCTGCAATTTTTTTTAGCTCATCAGCTATCATTATTGTTAGTGTATATTATGCGTGGCCCAAGACAATTGGTCTTCCAATGTGGTCCAGGGAAGCCAAAAGATTGGACACCCCTGCTTTAGAGTCTATTAGTAAGCTGAAAGAAGTGTGTATTCAAGTTTCTAACACGGATCATGAGGCATGAGGTTCCAGTTATTCATTCATTGACTGATGGTGAAATGGCTTTGAATCAAGGTGATTGTGATAATAGTGATGATAATGGTGACGTTGTTAACACTGCAGAAAAAGTGTCTACAGGCAAAATGGTGAAAACATGTTGTGGGTTTATTGAAGGACTAGAGCAGCATGCATTTATAGCAGAGCAACAAATCATGTTTGTAAAATCGAAGAGAGACTCTTGAGACTCAAACCATTGTTAATGAGGCAGATAACTCTGGAGGAAACATTTTAAAATGTTATCCAAAAGAACTTCTGTTCATCCTTTGAGGACCCACGTCCTGGTCTCTCAACTGCTTCTGATGTTTCTTCTCACCTGAAAACATACAGTGTACACTAACCTTTTAATCAAAACACAGGATCATAGGTGGAGGTTGAAATCCTGCTGTTGTTTGTTGCTGCTGTTGTTTAACAGCTGATATAGGCATCTGGTGATATGACTGTGCTGCTTACTTACTCTGAACACATTATTTTTTCACTGTATTAATGGTATATCATATATTTTACTGTTAAGTACTTACTTATGTGTGTGTAAGTGTACAAAAATGACTGCTTATGAGTAACATATAAATTCAGAGTCAGGAATGATGGTGATGCTAAAGAATCACAGATTGTCCCCATGGGGGGCTGAGATAGTGATACCTTTGTCTTATGATGATTCAATATACACATGCTCAAAATCAGTACAATTTTATTAAAATTATTTGTTTTAACAAATATCTTTGTTTCATGCTCAAAACATTGTCTCATGCTCAAAATTATTTAAAATATTGTATAAAATTATATCCTCACTATTTACATAATATATATATGAGACATAAGTGAGTTTTGTATTTAAACTTGGGCCTCATCCCCAAGATATCCCATTATATATATGCAAATATTCCAAAATCCAAAAATTCCAAAATTGAAAATAATTATTGTCCCAACATATCCGATAAGGAATAGTCAACCTATATTCCGAAGTCTTCATCAGGACAGAGCAGTCAAGTGATAACTTTATGTATC
This sequence comes from Homo sapiens, assembly GCF_000001405.40. NCBI lineage: Eukaryota > Metazoa > Chordata > Mammalia > Primates > Hominidae > Homo > Homo sapiens. Next base: position 137,646,186 of record NC_000004.12, read on the forward strand.
CTAAAGCAGTGAGTCTAAAATCCAAGGCCATTTAATTTTTGTAACCACTTGAATTTTTTCCTTATTTTTATAATAAGTAAATACTTCCCAGTTTTACCCAAGGAGATGTCCACATTTTTGCTATGACAATGTACAATCCATATTCTGGTTCTCAGTTTCTTTTTTTTTTAATAATGGAAAATAGCAAGGTGCATTTTACAGCAACTTCTAGTTCTGGAATAATGTAATCTGAAATTCTGGAATTAAATTATACCAATCTAAATTATCACTCCGCTTTGGAGAAAAGTAATATTTCTTATAATCTCCCATTCAGAAATTTATTATCCTAATGATTTAATAAAGCCAATGGGGGGAAGAAAACCCTAGAAAGGGTGTGTCCTTCAGTGTGAGACAGAAAACCCCAGTAAAGTAAAATCTCTCTTTTAACAGTTACAGTAGGCAGAATTCTAAAAGGATCCACAATGACCCATGCCCTTTTATAATCTCTTCTCCTTAAGTGTGAGTAGAATCTAAGAATATGAATCATGGGCAGAATCAAGGGATATAATTCCCATGATTGTTACTTTATACAGTAAAGGTTAAATAATGTAATTAAGAACCTTAATCTGGGTTGGGTCTGATGTATAATCAGGTGAGTCATTTAAAAGCAAGTTTAGGCTTTCTCTGAGTTCAGAGAAGTCTTAAAAACGCAAGCTCCAAAAATTAAAGTGAAAAAAAAAAGACACAAGCTCCCATGAGTTCTACATCGGCAAGAAAATTAATTCTACCAACAATCAAATAAGCTTAGAAGTGGATTCTTCCCCAGTCAAGTCTTCACATTAGCCCTCAATGATGGCTGACACCTTTATTGCAGTCTGTGAGATCCTGAGTGGAGGACCCAGTTCAGCTGTGCCCAGACTCCTGACTCATGAAAACTGTGAGATACCACATGAGGTGTTTTAAGCTATTAAGTTTGTGGTAATTTGTTATATAGTAATAAAAAGCTCTTTTAAGAGTTTTCGATCCAATTAAAATAACATACATTATAGACCAAAATATTTACTCTTACAACATAGATGAGATACTTTGCTCCTACATTATTGACCAAAATATTTACTCTTAAAACATAGATGACATAGATAATGCTTTAGTGAATTTTCTTCAAGGATATTTCTAAGAGTAATTGCTTTAGTTGGTAAATTTCTTATACCAAGCACAAACATGCCAACCGTGCTGCCACCTGATGGCATCTGATCTAGCTGTAGAGATCACTGGGCATATGGGCTTTGGCAGATTTGAAGTTTTATTACAGCCAGATGAACTCCACTTCTCCTCTGCAACACCCAGTTTTGAGGTTACTGGTCAGCTTTGTCACTGGCACCTGTTTCCTACAGTATTCTAAGTTGGGGTGGAAGCAACACATTTCTGACTCTCAGGACTAAAGTGAGGCATCCAAACTGAAACCTTGTGACATCCCACTCACACCCCAACTTTCACTTCCTTAAGACTTTTAGTGATTTTTCTAAGCCCCCAAATTTTTGCATTAAACCTTTTTCTGTTCAAATTACCTAGCATGGTTTCCATTTTCCTGACTGATGCATAACTGGTCATGACTGAAATATAACAATAATTGAATTAATGTCATTTTAATTAATTAGATAATTAATTAGATGACAGCTGTTACTTTATTAGATTTGATAGTAATAAGTGAAATCATACAATTCCAAGTTTTTAACACTTGAAGGTTTGAATCCACATTGACACTCTTCCTGATTTCATGATACACTTATAGAATCTCCAACTCTATTATAGCTTATTTATGCCTTTGGCATCTGCAGGAATGCTTTGGAAAGGAAAACGTAGTTAAGCAAATTCTGGGATGTGTTTAAAAAGTTAAAGTAGCTCAATTTAGAATTCTTGTTGCAACTTACTTCTCACATCCCTTCACTTTGGACAGAATTACCATTGTAGGTGAGTTGTTCATGACTAAAATAAACATAGTAGTCTTAGGTATTCCTTTGTCAAACAAGGCAGTTTAGTGCTGAGCACATATTAGCTTATTTTATTTTTCGGTTATTCTTTATCTTGGTGTAGTTTACAGATTTATGAGTAATAATGCATCACTTAATGTGGTATATAGAGAATTTACAAGTAAATATAAGAACTTTTTGAAGTTGTATAAAGAGATAGAGAAGCATACCTTGAGACTCTTAAAATCACAATATGTGTGTGCTTAGCCTCTCTCCTGCTCTTTCAGACTTCCAAGGTTGTCACACGGTTTTCATGTAACCAATGCTGTAAAAACAATGATTCAAAACTTTACCCTCAAGTCATTTACATGAATAAATATTCAATATACATTTCCAATTGGACTTAATTTCTCTACTCTCACGGACTGAGAGGTATGGGTATGTATATTAACAGTCTCACAACTTCCTAGGACTTTCCTAGCCTGTGTGAGACAAGCTATCTCACTGCAACAGGCACACGAAATGAAGGCTTTTCAAAGACCATCTCATGGTACTGAATATGAAATCTGGTGTCTCACAGTGCAAAGCATAACCACTTAGCTGTTTCTTTTAAGCTCCATTTCTCCCAACAAAAGGCTATTCTTTAGCTCTGTAGTTCAGTTCACAACAGTATAATGAGAATCTTTGATGTCTAAGCAGGCTTAAATACAGCACAGAAACACAAAGTTCATATCGCTGTATGTGTTTATGCGTTTGGTCAAACAATAAATTCTAGGCCTTGAATAGGGATCAGCCAATTTAATAGAGACATCTTATCCATCATGTCTAAAGTACAATTTATGAGAAAACCTGAAAGTTTTTACATCAAAACTTCTGTGAACAAAATGTTAAGAGTTTGCAGTGGGCCGGGCGCGGTGGCTCACGCCTGTAATCCCAGCACTTTGGGAGGCCGAGGTGAGTGGATCATGAGGTCAGGAGATCGAGACCATCCTGGCTAACAAGGTGAAACCCCGTCTCTACTAAAAATACAAAAAAGTAGCCGGGCGCGGTGGCGGGCGCCTGTAGTCCCAGCTACTCGGGAGGCTGAGGCAGGAGAAGGGCGTGAACCTGGGAAGCGGAGCTTGCAGTGAGCCGAGAATGCGCCACTGCAGTCCGCAGTCCGGCCTGGGCGACAGAGCGAGACTCCGTCTCAAAAAAAAAAAAAAAAAAAAAAAAGAGTTTGCAGTGACAGATTCAGGGGAGTTTTATGTTTATGATGCTTTTCATTACTTTCTATTACATATCACTTACTGAAAAGGGTATTTAAAAGAACATACAAGGGAAATTTATCCATGTATTGGAATTATTATTAAGAGTTAACCACATTTTAGTATCTCTTAACTAATACTTGTTCTTGAAAAATTAATGTAATGTAATTTCTGTTCTGCAAAAAACAATGTCAAGAGAACAACAACAACAACAACAACAACAAAAAACAACCCAAAGACTGGGAGGAAATATTTGCAAAAGACATATTTGTTAAAGAACTGTTATCCAAAATTTGCAAAAATTCTAAAAATTCAACAATTAAAAAAATAAATAGCCAGAATAAGAAATGGACCGAAGATCTTTACAGACACCTCATCAAAGAAGATGGGAAATAGGCATTTAAATAATTATCCACATTATATGTCATCAGGGAAATGTAAATTAAAATAACTATTAGAATGGCTGAAATCCAAAACACTGACAACACCAAATGCTAGCAAGGATGTGGAGCAATAGGAACTCCCATTCATTACTGGCGGAAATGCAAAATGATAACGGCAACTTTGAAAGGCAGTTTGGTGGCTTTTTATAAAACTAAACATAATCTCACTATATGATCCAGCAATTGTACTCCTTGGTATTTACCTAAAGGAATTGAAAACATGTCCACACAAAAATCTGCACATGGATGTTTGAAGCAGTTTTATTTATAATTGCCAAAAGTTGGGAACAACCACAATGTCCTGCAGTTTATTCATTCAATGAATGAATAAACAACCACAATTAATTCAATGAATGAATAAACAACCATAATGTCCTACAATCTGCACACAGATGTTTGAAGCAGTTTTATTTATAATTGCCAAAAGTTGGAAAAAACCACAATGTCCTACAGTTTATTCATTCAATGAATGAATAAACAAACATGATTCATTCAATGAATGAATAAACAACCACAATGTCCTACAGTTTATTCATTCACTGTATACTATATAATTCCAACTAAATGACATTCTGGAAATGGCAAAATGATGGGAACACTAAAATGATCAGTGGTTGATGAGGTGGAGTGGGGGATGGGTTGAATAGATACAATACAGACGATTTTCAGAGCAATGAAAATATTATGTATGATACTATATTGATGGGTACATATCACTATACATTTGGCCAAACCCATAGAATGTACACCAAGAGTGTCCCCTAAAGTAAACTGTGGACTCTGGGTGATTATGATGTGTCAGTGTGAGTTCACCAATGGTAACAAACATACTACCCTTGTGGGGAACGTTGATAATGGGGGAGGCTAACCATTTGTGAGGGCAAGAGCAATTTGGGAAATCTCTGTATCTTCTTAATTTTGCTGTGAACCTAAAGCTTAAAAGATATATAAAACTTCTAAATGAAGATATAAAAAAATAAATTAATGCAATAGAGGAAAGTATTGTATATAATGGTTCACATTTCACTTTGTCATATAAAGAAGTTTCAGACTTAACAAATAAAAACATGGATCTCTTTACTGAAAAAAAGAAATTAAAAAACAATGTTAAGGCTGTAGTTAGAGGCTGCTAGCTAGACATTAAGTAGAGATTATGTGTTGGATTCTAGCAAAGCTTGCACTTTTCCAAACCATCACCTGTACCACAAATTAGCTCTGATTGGATATTTAAAAAAATATAAACCCTAAGCATCTTATGACAGCAATCAAGAAGAAGCCTGTGGAGGTCGGGCATGGTGGCTCACGCTTGTAATTTCATCACTTTGGGAGGCCAAAGAAAGCAAATAGCTTATGCTCAGGAGTTCAAGACCAGCCTGGGCAACATGGTAAGACCCTGTCTCTACTAAAAATACAATAAAAAAAAAAAAAAAAAAAAGGCAGGCATGGTGGTGCATGCCTGTGGTTGTGGTTTCAGCTATTCAGGAGGCTGAGATGGCAGGAGTGATTGAGTCAGGAGGGTAGAGGTTGTAGTGAGCTGTGATCGCACCATTGCACTCCAGCTTGGATGATAGAGTAAGATCCTCCCCCACCACCCCTACACCCCACAAAAAAAGCCCACTGAGCTGGGCAATTCTGCTACCTCCACTAGAGAAACAACTACGTGGTTATAATTCACTGAAGGTAAGTAATAGAATGCTTGGTTTTAAAACTAAACAGAAGTTTACAAGTAATCCAGCTCAATTTATTCATTTGTATTTATATTTTTATAGGCATAATACAAGCATATGATAAGAAACATCCAAATGAATTCAAACACACATATACATATATAATTTACATTATATGTGTGTTTGTATGTGTATTCACATGTACATATCAATGTGACAACAGTAAAACAAAATTAACAATTTTTATTTCCTACTAAAATAAGGACAAAGTATATACTATGGGGGGGGCTATATTTTAAAAGTCTAAATTCAAATTTTACAAGTCTACATAGATTCTACCAATCTGTTGGATGATACAAACATTATCACTTATATCAGTGTTTTGTAACACATGATTTGCAGAACATTAGTGAGTTGTGAGATCAATATAGTAGGTCATTAAGAGCCGTTTTTAATAAAACCAAATAGAATAGAATACAAAAATAACAGAGTGCATTACTCATGCTTAGGGTAAGTTTTGTTTTATAAAGCTATTTCTTAACTTTCATTTAACTTGTATGTTTAACTTTATTTAATTTAAGCATATATCTGTGTATCCAATTGTAATGTAAAATGTAACTTTTACTATAGTCATAGTAAAATGAAACTAAAAAAGTTTCAAAGCCACTTACCACTGATTTCCCTAAGAAATGTATCCTATGGTGAGGTGGAACAAAAATAAGAAAACAAAGTGTGATTATAGGTTGAAAGAAATACAATGATAGTAAAATACAATATATATTCATAGAAAATGTCTTTGGAAATGGAATGATAGAAGAACTATTTTGCTAATTAAATGCATCATGGCAAGCCATATCAAAGAGCTTTATATTATTGAGAAAGTTTGTGTTATAGAGACAAGATCTCCGTCTCCCCATCAGTTTTTTTCATAGTAATTATGCCTTTTTGAGGCTATTTGTTCACAACTCACCTCCATTATCCACAAACTGAGCCAAAAGAAAATTATAAAAGCATGAAGTATATGAAAAAAATACCACCACCACCCTCCCATTGGTTCCTGATGATAATGTCAATAATGAGAGAAGAGTTCTTGGCACTTCTTCATGCTGGTGTTGAAAGAGTGAAGAAGATTATTTTATTTTATATTATTCTCAGCTGCAGGCATTGGATTACAAGCCTTTTAATAGTAGCTTTTCAAATAGATGAAATGGACCTATCTTGAAATAAAAAATGAATGCTGGCTCTATTCCTTGATGCAAATGACAGCCATTGCTCAGCCTACTGATGTTCCTCTTCTCTTTTATACACTGAGGAGATGGGATTAAAAGAGGACACATGTATCTAATGCAGGTCCTCCACTAATGCTGTGGCTGGTACACAATAATGATCAACTGTCTCCAAAAGAGGAGTAGTATATGAAGGGTTAAAAATCAAAATTTGGGGCTAAGACTTCTGATAATCAATAACAGTCATAGTAAAACCAACATGCAAAATAATATTTGTGGTACAAATGCAATAGATGATGGAGTAAATTTTTAACATACAAAAGGCAATGGCATTCCCACAAGTTCTGATTAAGCTGTTTTCAGCTAAGTAGTATTAAGTGTAAGTAGCAAGCCTAAGGGTTGCATTGCAGGCAGTCTACTGATCTCAATAATAAATCCTGGATTTATTTGAGAGCTGAGGTTGCAAACTGCAAATCCCAATCACCAGTGCTCAGAAGCAAAATCCAAATCCAAATTCCAAACTCTGAGCTAGTGTATATTCTCTTTTGAATTAGAAAAACATTACAGGTCAAGCTCCCCCCAAATTTAGCCTCCCAGTTCCAGGCACAGAAGAAACTATATAATTTGGGGATTATAAAAACCATAACATGAATATTGCTTTGGATTTTGATCACACATAAAAAATGAGTTAATTTCAGAGACATATGCTCTTAGTGAATAAGACATAGAAAATGAAACCTCTTTCTGAAAATAACTTCTAGATTTATCTGTGATCACTTTTCTGAGTTCCATTTATATATTGAAATTAAGCTTCTTAATTTTCTTCCCTGTAGAAAAAAAAAATGGTGTGCCAAGTTTTATGATGCCATTAACAGAGTCTTTGATTGCTGAAGTTGCAACAGCATAAATTGTCATGTCTGTGACAATAAAAACTGACCCTTGGAGATTATATATTTCTAAATGTGGTATTATCTACACACACAGAGTGAAAATAGAATTGAGACAAGACATGTGACTGGATAAATCAGTCTAAAGAACATGCCTGCTATTTTAATCAAGGGCAGTCTCAAATTTTCTAGATCATGTCTAAATTTTCAAATTTCTCATTTTATTTATAAATAAAGCTTCTGTGCATTAGCCCAAAGTTTTACTTCTTGAATATTATATCATTCCTTAAATCTTGAGAGAAAATAAAGTCAGATAATTACTTATTATTTAATAATTAACACTCATTCAATAATTTCTACCAATCATAAACTGCTCACTAGCCTTTACCTAAACTTTCCTGCTTAATTATCAAAACAACACCTGAATATCCATACGATGGAGTAATTATGTCACACAAAACAACAAGAGTAAATTTTAAACGCTTTCTAAGTGAAGGAAGCTGGACACCAATGTGTATGCAACATATGATTGCCTTCATATGAATTCTTTTTTTTTTTTTTTTTTTGAGACAGAAGGAGTCTCATTCTGTGGCCAGGCTGGAGTGCAGTGGTGCGATCTCGGCTCACTGCAACCTCCACCTCCCGGTTCAAGTGATTTTTCTGCCTCAGCCTCCCAAGTAGCTGGGATTACAGGCACACACCACTACACCCAGCTAATTTTTGTATTTTTAGTAGAGACGCGGTTCCACCATGTTGGCCAGGATGGTCTAGATCTCCCCATCTCGTGATCCGCCCGCCTCAGCTTCCCATAGTTCTGGGATTCCAAGCGTGAGCCACTGGGTCCGGCCCATATGAATTCTTAAAAAATGAAACTACAGTAACAAGAAGATCAGTGGTTGCCAGGGACTGGGCTTCAGGGAGGAAATGACTACAAAGTGGCAACCGGGAACTTTTTAGGGAAATGCAAATATTCTGTATCATGCTAGTGTTGGCAGTTATGCTACTGTACACATTTATCAAAAGTCATCACAAAAAGACCTACATTATATTGTATAAAAAGTATATACCAATAAAGTTGATTTTGAGAATTAAAAAAAATCACTTGAATGTTATACATCTATCTTTTCCTTTTTTTAAAGAACAGACTGAGGTTGAACTTGAATAACTTGCACAAGGTCACAGTCAGTATACTAAACCCACACTTGATCGGCCCCAAGACCATGAACTCTACACAGTCAGGTAAGCTTTCTCCATTACCTCTTCTGCGTCTATGACTTGTGTCTTGTATAGAAGAGACAGTCGACATACACTTATAAGGCATATATAAATAGGTGCCTGGAAACCCAAGTTCTGTCTCCTCTATGGCACAATCTTGTGTCATAGTAGATTGTCTCTTCTCATGGTATTCTATTTCTTTAGGAAAATCTGAATTGAAAAAGCAAAAGTTCCCCCAAGTGGTGAAGATGGTATATCAGTATAACAAATTTCTCATAAACTATTAAATGATATGCTATAATATTTACCTTTCAAATCAGAAGTAATCTATTCTGGAGGATTGAAGTATGACTTTCTTGCTGGTGGTGAATATCTTCCATAAAATTCCTTTGCTTTCTTATGCATTTCTGAATAAGGATTTCAGAAATTTATATTAATATTTTCTTTTTAGGATGATATGCCTTGGCCTTTCTCTCTATAGATCTCTATAATGAGTTTCATTCAAGATTTGCACACATTGAACATGGTATAACTATTCAATGTTTGTTCAAGAGGCCTAGCTTTGACCTGTCTGATTTTCATTCTGTTTATAAATGACCTTGCATCCTACTGCATAATCTCTGAGCATACCCAATGCTTTTGGTTTTCTTTCTCAGATTTCAGATGCCGCAATCTCTCCTTGCATCTAAAACACCCAAGTTTACCAGACAGAGTTTCTTATAAACAATTTAAATGTGGTTGTCAAAAATCCATGCCAGCTGCTTCAGCTTCCTTTACAATATTCAGGGTAATTAACATCTGCAAACTGCAAGGAAATAAAATTTCTCTCTTTCTCTTGTTCTGTGTCTCTGTCTCTCTTTTCAAAGACTTCCAGACTTACTACTTGTGTTTATTTCAGGTTGATGAAAGGTATAATTTAAAGAATAGCCTTTCTTCTCCTTTCCTGCAAAATCAGCAGCTTTGAATAGGGATAAAGATTGCTTCTGTATGAAGATCATTCAAGATGCCATTTTAAAACAGAAAATAGAATCAGACATAAAAATGCAGAAGTGTGTTTGGATTAGAAGCATTTCTTTTCAAGAATTGTAAGTCTTGTGCTATTCACTAGCTGGAAAATATCTCCAAATTGTCTATTGTATTTGCATTTAATGTAAGGAAGAAAAATATTCAAAGCAATACCAAGAGCAATGGAGCAATAATCATGTGTACATGAGTGAAGAAAACTCACTCCATCCCAATTATTTAAAAACATGCAGCTAGTCATTTCACGCCTTGCAGGAAGTGTATGATGTGGACACAGAATCCAAGAAGAAAGAGAATGTATTATTCCAAGTGCTAGCTTGGTCAAACTACTAATAAATTCATCTTAAAAAAGAATTAGGGATGCCTTTCCTTGTAGCACTTGACTTACAGGCTTCAGATGCATCAATTCATATGCACCATTGTACCTGTCACTGACAGTGGTTAGAAGTTAAGATGCTTCCACTCCAGTAAAAACACTGCTGTGCTTTTTTTTTTTTTGAGATGGACTCTTGCTCTGTTGCCAGGCTGGAGTGCAGTGGCATGATCTTGGCTCACTGCAACCTCCACTTCCCAGGTTCCAGTGATTCCCCTGCCTCAGCCTCCCTAGTAACTGGGATTACAGGCGCACACAACCACACCCAGCTAATTTTTGTATTTTTAGTAGAGACGGGATTTCACCATGTTGTCCAGGACGGTCTCGATCTCCTGACCTCGTGAGGAGGCACTTGGCCTCCCAAAGTGCTGGCATTTCAGGCGTGAGCCACCGTGTCCGGCCACTGCAATGCTTTTTATAATAGAAAATGCTGATAAGGAAACTGAAATTGGTTAAGGAACGAGGATAATAATTTTTTAGGAGTCTAAAAATTGTAGTGTACATGTATACTCTTGGTGACAGTATAGATACATTTTGACAGCAAGCAATTCAGAGTAAACCACAAAGGAAAATGAACATAAGAGCTTCCTGAAATAACTTAGGATAGCCATATTTGGCAAGAAAAATACAGAACCCAGTTAAATTTCAACTCTGTGTAGATGAGATAATTTTTAAAATACAAGTACTTCTATGACTATTTGGAAATGCACTTACAGTCCTAAACTCTTGTTTGTCTGAAATTTAACTGGATGTTCCACATATTATCTGTCAGCCCTAATTTTAGTATAAAAATTAGTGTAAAAGCAACGCTATGAGTAACTCTGCAAGTACTAAACTGACTTCAAAACTAATATACCAAGTATTAGGATCCAAGTAATCAGTGTTTGGGGACAAGAAGATGAAGCTTTTATTTGTCCAATGAACAGCAAGAAAAATAAAAATAATGAGTTAAGTTTGTAATAAAAGCAGAAAAATTCAATTAAATAAATGAACTTTAGAAGAAATAACATCTTCTTATTGTTTTAAAATATCCTTAGTTGATGAAATAAAAAAAGATGACATTACAACATTGGTCCTTCTTTTTCAGGTCTGTAAAATCAAGAAGTGTTAGTATTACTCGATTCTACTGATGTTTTTTCATCATCTGAAGTCGTATTGTTTTGTGTCTGGTTAGCGTTAAAATAAGAAAATTGTGTTGAACATAGACACACACAACCACACTTCGTATTTCATAGCAGTTTAAGATTCACAGAAAAATTAAGTGGCAGGTACAGAGATTTCCCATATGCCTTCTGCCCTACACATGTACTGATACTCCTCGACTTAGGATAGGGCTACATCCAGATAAAACTGTACTAAATTAAAAACAGTAAGTCCAACGTGCATTTTCAACTTCTGATATTTTTAATTTAGCCTGGGTTTATCTGGACTTAACCCCACAGCAAATGGAGGACAGTACTAAATGCATGTTGCTTTCACACCATCTTAAAGTTGAAAAATTGTAAATCGAGCAATTGTTTAAGTTGGAAAATGTCCACATAGCCTCTCCCGTTATCAACATCCCTACCACTGTTTTACTGGGTAACCTGTGTCCACATGATTACAGTTCTTTTTCTGCTTTGGCCCAATCACCACCACACTGAAGTAAAACTACTCTGCTATTATTTGTAATAAAATCTATGCCCCTCCCAACATAGGCTTGTGCTCTCAATTTACTACTGATTATAATGGCCATCTAGATTGGAACCACTTAGGCCCTTGATAGCTACCACCTTATTCCAATTTACTGTCTCCTATGCAGCTGTAACAGCCTCTTAACTGATTCCTCTCCTTTAACTGTTGTTCCACTTCTCTTTACGTGAAGTAGCTCTCTGATATTTTAAAAATACAATCAGATAGCATCACTTCCTTATTCAAAACCTTCTAGTGGACTCTCATCACCCTTAGAATAAAATCCCAATTAATGACCAAGCCCTAATGATTTAGACTTTAATACTTCTTGAGCTTGATTTCTATCACTCCCTCCCAACACTGTCTCTTGTTTCTCCAATGTGCCCATAGTTCATCCCCTCTGGAGGGCATTATCTTGCTGTTTCTTTTCTTTTCTTTTACTTTTTTTTAGAGACAGGGTCTCATTCTGTCACCCAGGCTGGAGTGCAGTGGTGCAATCCCTGCTCACTGAAACCTCTGCCTCCCAAGTTCAAGCAATTCTCCTGCCTCAGCCTCCCAAGTAGCTGGAAGACATGTACAACCATTCCTGGAAAATTTTTGTATTTTTAGTAGAGATGGAGAGTCACCATGTTGGCCAGGCTGGGCTGTTTATTCTCTATTGAACTTTTTTCTGCAGATTATTTTTTCATTGCTCATTTGCTCTGCTCATTCAAGTCCAGGCTCTGCTATTACTGCTTCAGAGATTCTTTTGCTAATCACACTGTATATGTAATAAATCATCACCTAGCCCCATATACACTTTACACACTTTACTTTTATCTCCTTATCTTTCTTTATTTTTCTTACTAGTAGTTCTAAATACCCCAAACTAGTTATTTGTTGTATAACTCTACACATTAGAAAACGAGGGCAGTTGGCCGGGTGCGGTGGCTCACGCCTGTAATCCCAGCACTTTGGGAGGCTGAGGTGGGCAGATCAACTGAAGTCGGGAGTTGGGGACCAGAATGACCAAAATGGAGAAACCCTGTCTCTACTAAAATACAAAATTAGCCAGGCATGGGTGGCGTGTGCCTGTAATCCCAGCTACTCGGGAGGCTGAGTCAGGAGAATCACTTGAACCCGGGAGACGGAGGTTGCAGTGAGCTGAGATCGCCCCATTGCACTCCAGCCTAGTCAACAAGAGCAAAACTCTATCTCAAAAAAAACAGAAAAGAAAATGAGGGCAGTTAAAAAATAAGCTTGTGTCTCCAAGTCACTTCTTTAGCCCCATTACCTAGCATCTAGTAGGGTCTCAATAAATAGTTGTGAAATGAGTAAATAAATTGAACATTCTTTGGCATAGAAGCCCAGCCTAAGTCTCTTAAGAGCCTGTATCAAAAGACGAAGTGAGTAAAATGATCTTGGTTGTATTTTAAATTACCCCTTCCTTATGATCACACACTGTGCCTTCTTATTTATTCCTTTTCAAAAGAATTTTAGTGTCTCTTGAGAACACTGACCTGGAGGTTAAGAAGCATCCATTGCATAAAGGTATTTGTTTCAGGGGTTAAAGGAATATTCATGCAAATTGAGCTTTACTTCTTGTGCTGCTAGCCTGTCATATTTTACCAAACCATAAAAGGAGATTATAAAAGACATACAGCAAAGTCCTTATTCTAAAATTCTTGCTCTAACTGTACAAAGAAAAATGAAAACTTTCTCACGAGCCAGAATAATTGTTCTTCCAACTAATTTAACAGGAATTTAATAAAGATACTTAAGTATTGTTTTCCCAACTGGGGCCAAAATACATTCCAAAAATATAAATCACCTAAGATCATTTTGTTTGAGGGTTTCTTGCACTGAATGATCCAAACAGATCACAGCATCATTGAATAGCATGGAAGGGAGGGTTTATATACATGTTAGACATAAGCATGCAGGAAAACTTAAGGATGAGGGAGATTTTCCAAGGGGTTGGTCATATATAACATGAAAAACATCAATAGAATATGCCTAGCATAGACTAGCTGTTCAACAAATATTTGTTGAATAAATAAGAGATAGAATAAAAAATACTTTAACTCACTTTTCCTCTTTGAAACATTTGAAAAGCTGTAGTTTATTGAAAATACTGAGTCTGGAAGCTCACAAATTTTTTTTTTTTTTTTTTTCTCACAAAATCCAAGAGTCTATTTTAATTCTCCACCATTTCAACCTAATAGATGCCTCCTTGAAATAATCTCTTCATTTGTTATTCTGACACTGCACAAACCTGAGTCCCTTTTCAGTTTTTGTGTTTTCTTCCTACTCTATCCCTTTTGATTTCTTCTCTCCCTCCTACTATCCCATATGTCTAAGATTCTCTATGGCCATGTATTTACCCATGACCCTTTAAGTTCACTTTCCCAGAGTGTTCATACATTTTGATAGCTTTAAATATTTCCTCTATGCTGATGACTCAAATAGCATTTCCAGTCCTCACTATTCAATGATGCTTCAGTTCCAAGACTCAAAAATCCTGCTGCCAAATTTCTGATTCCAAAGAAAAATGTTTTTCAAGAATTTGCAGTGAGTCCACTTTGCCCCCAAGTGATATTTACGCAAGGACGCTTAGAATTTACAGCGTGTTTCTTTACTTGTTTTTCCCAGTATGAACCCTGACTTACCAACGCCTTCTCCACAGCCATGTCCATGGTTTCATGAAGCTATTTTTCCTTCTCAGAAAACCTCCTACTCTTCACTAAATACACAAATCCAGCAGACTTTTAAAATGCCAGGTCCAATGGATGATTTGCTGTTTAAGCCAGGGAAAAAGAAAACCAAAAAAGCAAAACATGGGGCATGGAAGGAGGAGAATTTGTTTTCTATTTCAGTGGGTGACCCCAAGAAAAACTTCTCCCTAGGCCTTAGTTTTAACAGCACAAGGTATTGTGGGAGTTAATTACATGGTCATGTTCAGTTTTATTAGCTCTTTTTTATCTGAATATAAATATTCACTTAGAATAATTTGCCTTTTCCCCCCATTACACTCTATGTACAATCTTACTATTTTCCAACCTTAGCAATTCACCTGTTCTCCATAGGTTTTACTAGTGGAGATGGAAATACTCACAATAAAAGTCTACATGATTATGACACTCTTACTTATAAGAACTCACCTACAAATGCTCAAGTTAAATTAAAAAAAATCTTTATATGTTACCAAAAATAAAAATAAAAATCTATCCATCACATGAAAAAACTAAAATACATTTTTTAGATAATTATTGGCTTAGTAAACTTAAAGCATCTAGAAATGAAATATTATTTTCTTCTAGCAAAAGAATTAAAATAACAAATGCTGTTTTGACATTTTTGTCATCTAAACCAAAACAAAGATTTGAAGCTAAGCTTTGTTGGCCCACATCTCTAGCCACTGATGTGATCAGTAGGTGATCACTTTCCTCAGATTTGATTGATCATTATACAATGTTAAATATTCTAGTTGTTTCTAAGAAAAAATATCTCCTAGGGATGAAAAACTACCTAATTTTATAAAACTTGATTTAGATAGAAAAAGCCCTCTTCTCAGTAAGGAAGCAGTGGCTGTTAGTCTTCTTATGGTAGGGTTTTCTCTTGATAGAAAAAGCACACTTAACGTCAGGCCAGGCCACTGCTCATTGTGGTTAGGTTACATTATACCACATATGTCGACCCCCTTGTACTATAAGGACTACATCACTGTAGAGGAAACCTGGAATTAAAACTGTGTGTCTGCATGTGAGAGAGAGGAATAAAGAGAATATGTGTGCATTGTGTAAATGTGTGTAAACATGCTATTCTATTCAAATGCAAATGGAACTAAAAATAAATTCATGGGTGGCAGAGTGAGTGGAGTATGAGTTCTTAACTGTCAACAAACTCAAAGGCTTTGAGAGTTCTGAACATGTTAGTGAGAGCAGTGGAAGGAAGAAACTGGTCAAGCAGGCAGTTAGGGTGGGTCCTTGGTAAAACTCCTTCAAACCAAGAATAGCCTGAAAGTCAAACTGCGAGCCCCAGATAAGGAGCCTGTGTCCTTGAATGGAAACGCTTACTCTGTGAACACAGATGAACAAATTCCACTTCTGTTTTAGACACATTTCTGTCTCCTTGATCTGCCTTAGTCTCCTGCTTTTCACCTATTTTACATACACCTACCTTTCTGTGATTGGCTGCTGAGAGAATCTTCATTTACATAGGGTGAATCATCACTCCAGCCCCTGATTGGTCCTGGGCCAAGGTCCCAGCCAAGCCTTCATTACAGCCCCTGACTGGTCCTAGGCCGAAGTCTTGGGCCAAGCCTTTACCTCTGCTTCCAACTGGTTCTTTTCACTATCATACCTCTTTCTGAGAGGTGCTTTCTCCAAGATGGCCTTCAGACCAGTCAGCACATTCCTCCCTCTTCCCAGTCCATAAAAACCCCTGGACTCAGCTTCATAGCTTGCAACCCTCTTTCGGGTCCCCTCTCTTTGCTGAGAGCTTTTCTGTTCCCTAATGAATCTAACTCTGCCTTGCTCACTGTCCATTGTCTGCATGCCTTAGTCTTCTTTGTCATGGGACGAGAACCCAGAGCTCACTGGTGGTAAGAGTGAAAGAGCTGCAACGCTCCCTCCCACTCGCAGAACAACAGGAGTGAAAAAGCTGTAACACTGACACTGAGAAATGCAGCACATTTAATTTTAAGAGATAATATCCATATCGATTTTCCCAAAAAATTCAGGAAATATCTAGACATAGAAAAGCATTACCTATCTGGGACTAAAGAAGTCAATATTTTCAATGTCAATAAATAGAAAACAAAAAAATAAGATGCCATAAAGAGTTTCAGCTATTGCTTCCAAAACTGAGATGTCTTATGTAATGAATTTACTTAATAATCTCAAATCACTGGTCATAAACACAAAACTGTTTTTTTTTTCAGTAACTGTCCACATCTATGCAATATTGAAGCTCATATTATTGGTGGATAAAAACTATATTTGTTAATAATTCTTTGGCCCAATCTCCTTATGTTCATTCACTTTCAATTATTCAGTCTCATCTTAGTTTTTACTTATCTCTATTCATTTAAAAAATTTATTTCATATTCTAAAATATATTCTTTTTTCCTTCAGTTAAATATGAGCTGAAGTTCTAATGGCTGCAAGATAGGATGGGTTTGATGTGACTCTCACACTTCTTCCTGTCTTCTTTTCTTGATACCAGCTTCTCAGTTATTGATGAGGGGAGAAGGAGAAGGAAAACACAGATCCTTTCTTATCTGACAGCTGCAACACACCACTCTCTCTCCCCACCCACTGCCCATCCCCACTGTTCTAGTATTTTGTTTACAGGTTCAATGTAGAGATATGGCAGCTCACTCTGAGCAGTGGCCTTGGGCATTGGTAGTTTCTTGAGAGTTTACCTGTTATTCCAGCAGAATTCCAGGATGTATATGGTCTCAAGTAACAAATCCTCTCTGCAGCAGTCTCAACAAAACTGAATCCTGATTGCATCCATCCTAGGGTTAATTCTAGGGTGGGCACCCGCAGGATCCTATCCCACACTGCCTGGGAAGTGAGAGTGTGGCCTCTGCCCAGGGCCCCTCTGCTGGGCCTCTCCCAGCATGCTCTCCCACAGTTTGCTTCTCTACTGTTTCATTAGCACAAGGCATGCTTACAACCAGAGTTCCAAAAATGTAACACAGTAAGTTTTACTTTCCTGGGTCTTCCCTCCAATTACTTAGCTTGGGAAAAATAAAGCAGCTGCTAGATTTCAAGAGACTAGGGTTACATCTTTGTACTGGGTAGCACTGAAGAAATTAGGTAACGTTTTGTTTTCATTCATAAAGACAGAGTTTTCAAGCTGACAAAAAATCTTTCTCTTCTTTTTTATCTACTTTGTCCTGTAAAGTTTCCATGACTTATTATATAAGACAATTTATAACTCCTGGTATCTTAGCATTTTTACAGCCGAGAAAGGCAGAACTGTGCACTTCGCGCAAGACAATAGGACTTGAAGCTCAGCAGGCATGTGATTTTGTAATAATGTCTAAGGAACAAATAGTTTTCAACTCTTCATGTTTATAGTGATGATTCCAGGCAGTTGTATTAGTTGATTTTTTTTAGTCTGTTTTTGAAAAGTTTAGTCTTGAGGTTTGATTCCTGAGAGAGAAAAAAGTACTTTATGCATCTTGAAGCAGGATGGCATTAAATTTCCTACTTCCTTCTCATTGTTTAGTTTAGCTGGTCAACACTCAGGGCTAACTGTGAATTGCCTTGGGAGTTTTAGGGAGGTTAACTATTGGGTTTCATCTCTAACTTCATGTAAAGCATCTGCAAATAATCAAGATACAGAAAGAAGCTCAGAATGGAGGCAGCCTTCGGGATTTGATTTAGCTAAACCTTCCTGTGAGCCACATTTCTTTGTTTACATACATTCCTGCTCTGAAAGCCAACTTCCTGTCATAAAGCTGCATACCAAATTTGAGTATTTAGAAAACAGTGTGGCTCAAACCATTATAACTCTGGAAACAGACTTCAAATAATTATTATTTTTAAAGGTTATGCTATAAAATGCAGCACCTCATTCTAACCTTCACAATTTAAATTATTTTCATATAACCGCACACATTTTTAGCACACACAGAGAGACAGAGAAAGTGAGTAAGTGTGAGAGAGAGAGAGAGAGAGAGAGAGAGAGAATCAGTGCTATTCTCTGCACAAAAAAATCTCTCTCAGGATAGACCTTGTTTGGAGACACCAATGAGACAGTACAAAGACTGAAAAGGAATGGAATGTATTTTTCAAAAGTGATAAATCCTTGAGAGAAGACACAATGTATGACCAATCCCATATGGTATAAATTTCAGCACTACAAGTTTCTCAGATAATTCAGATGTCATGGTTCCTTTGGCTCCTTCAATGTATTTTCGTTTTATCAGTTATTTTCCACTTTCTAGATCTTCTATATCTCTCTTCTTTTTCAAAATATTACTCAATACTTCCTTACCTGCTTTATCCTGATATTTCATTCTCTCTCCCAACAAATCTCTTCTTTTTCCTCCATGATACCTGTTTTTAGCATATGCTCTAGGTCCGTAGTTACACTCCTCCTATTCTAGCCTGCTACCGTCCAAGATAGAATTCATAAGGCTCAGTTTCAAGCCTATGACTAGATCTTATTAGATTTAATTAAATCAAACCTCAACTACCACCCAGAAGTTGTAGTTTGCAAGGTCATTGATGAACTGCCTGTTATTAAGTCAAAGAACAACGGGCAGTTTTCACCGTGTATTTATTATACTTTCTGTAGAATTTGGATCTGTTTGCAGCACTCTCCTTGAAAACTTATCCTTCCTCAGTCTCTATGACATTGTTGTTTCTGGGTTAATCATCATTGTGGGCTCCACTTCTTCCATCAGACTTTAAATCTTGGGGTTTTCTAGGATATCATTTTTAGATGTTGTTTTCTTTCTAAGCTGCACATATTTTCTATTTCTCTTCCATAGGTAGATGATGATTCCCAAATCTACATATATAGCCTGTGGTTTTCTCTCACTTTTTGTATCCTTTTAGTGACGAATTCCTACCAATCTTACCTACAAATCTCACTTGGATCTATGATTTATCTCTATCTTTTATCAGAGAAACAGTAAAGGGCCCTGGACTCAAACTCCCTCTGTGCAAGTCCTGGCTGTGTTTCTTGCTACCGGCGTAATGGTAGGTAAGTTATTTAACCTCTCTGTCTCTCATCGTCCACATCAGTAAAATGAAGATGGGAAGAGTAACTTACTCACAGGATGTGCTGATGTTATGACCATTACTATAGTTCATTTCACCATCTTTTTTTTATTTCTATTTTTTTAGGCCTTACTTTGTCATCTAGGCTGGACTGTAGTGGTGCTATCACGGCTCACTGCAGCCTCAAACTCCTGGGCTCAAGTGATCCTCCTGCCTCAGCCTCCCGAGTAGCTGGGACTATAGGCACATCCCACCACATCCAGAAAATTATTTTATTTTATTTTATTTTATTTTATTTTTGTAGAGACAGTGTCTTGCTATGTTGCTCAGGCTGTTTTACAGCTCTTGACATCAAGCAATCCTCCCACCTTGGCCTCCCAAAGTGTCAGGATTATAGGCATGAGCCACCATGCCTGGCTTCACCATCATTTTAAAATCTCAGTTGTCATAATCTCCTAACAGGTTTCTGTGCCATCTTGGCTGTTGTATAATTAAGCTGCAAAACAGTCGGACTGATCTTCCTAAAGTGTCATATAATCTTTTTGATGCATAAAATTCTAGGAATGCTCTCATTAATTTCACAATATAACCCTGATGGGCCACATTCTACCTGATATGATTTTTGCCAAACTCTTGAATCTAATCTATTCACACAGAAGAGAATGGAGTACATCACATTCTCCTTCAAATTTCAACCAGCAATTATGATCCTATATATCCAACTTCTTCGTAATAGAATTATTTTCCCTTTAACAAAAATTTCTACGTAACTATTTCTTAAGCTGCACTGTAAACAAATAGGCAAGATCAAAATGAGATCTAATAATTTTTGTAGGGGCAGCCAAGTCATATACCGAGGCAGAAAACTTAAAATGCAAATATCATCACACAATAGCTATGCATGGCCACCTATCATTTATATTCTTTATTTGTCGGACCTCCTTTACATTTTGTTCCTAGTGTTTCATTTTACACTGTCATGCTTCACTGTACTTCAACAATAACCATGGACGTGAAATAAATTGATTGTGCTCAGCAGAGATAGAGTA
This sequence comes from Homo sapiens, assembly GCF_000001405.40. Taxonomy (NCBI): domain Eukaryota; kingdom Metazoa; phylum Chordata; class Mammalia; order Primates; family Hominidae; genus Homo; species Homo sapiens. Next base: position 137,666,657 of record NC_000004.12, read on the forward strand.
GATAGCGGAGGTAATTAAGTATAGAGGTAAATCTTCCTACAAAACCAAAATTGACATTTTTTTCCTATCATCTTGAAACTTTTGTTACTCCACTTTGAAAATGATATTTGCTTAAGGAAAAAAAAAGACAGCCTAGTATGTATTACAGTAATGTGAGTTCTAAAATTAGGCACTCAGGATAATCATGAATTAGCGTCCTGAGAGCCATTGTGGTTGTCGAAAAAAATAATAAAGTTAATTAAAACAGTCTTTTAGAATATACATATGTACCATACTACACTGAGTATTCCAAAGGATGTGGAAATATTTTTTCTGTCCATTTTGGGCACTTTATATAGTGTATTTTTTAATCTAAAGTAATAAGTTCAAAGTTGAAAGTTCAAAATAGTGTTGAGTATTCCCAAAGACTTTATATATAATAAACAGAAACACAGAAAGACACAATCACTATATCAATTTCTATATCGCTTTTAAAAAGAATATTTATTTATTTATTTATTTATTTTGAGACAGAGTCTTGTTATGTTGCCCAGGCTGGAGTGCAGTGCCACCATCTCAGCTCACTGCAACCTCTGCCCCCAGGTTCAAGTGATTCTCATGCCTCAGCCTCTCAAGTAGCTGGGATTACAAGCATGGGCCACCACGCCCGGCTAAATTTTACATTTGTAGTAAAGGCAGAGTTTTGCCATGTTGCCCAGGCTAGTCTTGAACTCCTGGCCTCAAGTGATTTCCTGCCTCCACATCCCAAAGTGCTGGGATTGCAGGCATGAGCCACTGCACCTGGCCAACTTTCTTCCTGTTAGTTGACTTGACATGAAATGCTTGGGGCAATTTTACCAAATAAAATAAGCAATCTATAACCTATAATTTTCAAACTCCTTGTCCCATGTTTCAGATGAATTACAGTAATGTTTAGTTATTATCAGTATTTTTAGGTATTGATGCAAAAATATTGTGTAACCTTACCTTCTCAACAGAATTAATTATGTGAGTTTATTTTAAAATGTTACTTAAAGTGCATTCTCAAGAAACCATCATTTCTGAGAGATGGTTAGCATTGCACATTTATTTTCCTAGTAATGGAATGGATTGATTATTGACAAATTTTTGTATTATGTGTTTTGTATTTTTTAGAAATAACTAATTTAAAGCTTCTCTAAGAAATAACATTTTAATACATAATATTTAATATATTTGTTGCATGTCAATATTTGCAGATGCATGACAGATAATATTTTCACACTATTTATCAAAAACAAAACTAACTAAAAAACCTTTTACCTTGTTTACAAGTGCTATTTAAGCAGCAGTGCATGTCTCCTCACATTTGAAAATATTGATTGGGTCTTGAAGACAGAATAACAAGCGCCAGAACTCAAGCATTTTGCCAGGAGTGGTGCTGCCTCATCAGTACTTCAGATCCAGGCAGGGAAACTGTCAGCAGAACTGCTCCAAAGTCTGCTTTGTGAAATGCACATAAGCGGTCTCCCAGGTAAGTAAGACTCAGACAATAAAGCTTTACAGATTGCAAGCAGCACCTTAACTGCATTTGAATATGAACTGGAAGTTGGTGCAGTTCTCTGTGGTAAAATGAAATTTAGATTATTAAGTAAGCATGTGCTGTATTCTGTACCCTTAGAAACTTCAGCATAGATGCCAGCATCATATTAATATTTGATCATCTTTAATATTTAAAAAGCTTTAATTTTGAAACAATCAAGATGCACATGCAACATATTATCTTCTTAAGTGTTTATTATATTCTTATACATGTGCTTGGCCAGATGTGAAGAAATATATTGCGTATAAGGAGAATAACTATATATCAAAACATTCTATGTCACTCTAACACACACCATCCAGTTCCTTTCTTTTGCTGTGTTTTCTACTATGTTACATTATGACACTATTTATAGAGCTTTTAAAAACTTGTTAATGAAGATCTTTCTTATCATTTAGACTATAAGTTCTTTGAAGTCAGGGTCCATGTCTGCTTTGGTTTATTACTAAATCTAATTAAGAACCACTTCACTCTCTGCAATTGGAGTAACAAAAAAACTACCAGTTTAATGAATTAATATGCTTTCAATATTGCTTTCAAAGTAGAAGGAGACAGTTTGATTAAATCATATAGCAACCATGAAATACACCAAATACATGTTTGCTTTTAATATCTAGAAATGTTAAACTGAGAATTTCTTTATAAAAATTCTTATATTCTTATTAGGAAAAGTAATTAAAAAAAAGCTATTTGTACCACAGAAAATAGTGTATATAATACTAAAAATATAAAAAAATACATTTAGAATTTCAGATATTAGCAATATTTTTCCAGAATCTATCCTGATACTCTTTGATTAAAAAAAGTAAGATAGAAAAATAATATGGTTATGCCTTGTGTATAAAATAATAAAACTGCTGACACATCATTATTCTAGGTTTACATACCTTTACTTGCCTGGTCCCTATTGTGTAACAAATAGTATGAGTTTGTAAAATGACTGGCTAGGGAAAGGGACAAAATTTGTATCCATGAAGTATGCAAAAATTAACAGACCCCCACAGGCATGAAACTCTGGCTTTCACTGTGTTAGTTCAAGGCCTATCCCAGTGGAGCAAAGCAGCAAGGATTTGGGGTCTGTTTCTTTTCTCACACATCTTTTACAGCTCATCATTGCAGTCTGCTTTTTCATGTGATTGCAATGTGGAAATTCTTCAACTTTCTTGTTGAATAATATTTAAACTCTAAATCACATCCAATTTCTTAGTATAAGCATATGTTCATGACCATTTCCTAATATAGAATAGATATGCCTTCTGTTTTGATTACATTCTGCTTCACTTGGTTATTTTCCTTTGGACCACCCTGGAACCTCATTTTAATGTAGACAGCTCTCCAATATTTACATAGGAATATAACTAAAAATTATTTCTGTCTTCTTTAATAAATCTGTTGCTACTGTTACTACTGGCTCTTCCACTCTAACTTTCCATTTTTCTTATTTGATTGCAACCAAAATTCTTGATTTTAGGGCTGGTCTCTTTTTCTCATTCATACATCACTTAATTTTGTGTTTCCTTACAGATGGAATTTCCCCAACTGAGTTTCATGTTTCCTTTGTTGACATTCAGTATCTCAAATAACACCTGTATATACTGGTTGATTAAGAATTGTCCTATAACTATATGTTGAATAAATAATCTTAAAAGTTCAATTCACTTACTTTCTGAAAAATTATATTTATATACATGCATATAAATAGAAAGATACATACATATATTATATATATGTTATTCAAAATCACCATAGTAGAGGTTTTATTAAATGTATGTGTGTGCTACAGTTTGTTTATATATACTATATTAATCCCTCATTTTTCCAGTTAGTCTTATTGAATCTAGAAGATCTAAATAAAATGTACTGAATTGAGAGTGTCAAATAGTATTCGAAGACAGTGTATGTCATAAGCTTAGAACTACCACAGTGTTTTGGAAAATGGTCAATAAATAACATTAAGCTTCAACTTCAGTGCAGGAGAATGCAAGGTTGAAAGTCACTCACCCTCTATTTTGACGTAAACCATTAATGAATCTTAATCAGACAGAGAACTTCATCATACACTTTGGTGTAATAAGATTTTACTTGTCATAATACTTTGTTAACAAAGAAAAGGCTAGAGACATCACACAATATACCTATTACGATATACCCATTTTTCCTTAATTTTAATTCAGGAGGTACATGTGCAGATGTAACAGACCTGCACATGTACCCGCTGAATCTTACATTAAGAAAAAAAAAGAAGGCTAGAAAAATAGGATGTGAGGATGGAGGGAGGATGAACAGAGAAATATTTCTGAGAGGAATTTTGTATTTTAGTTTTTTTATAGAATTATCATTCCACATGGAAATTTTATTTTTATCTTTATTGAGATTCTTAAAAATTCACTATGTTTAGAGAGAAAAATAATCGACTAGAAAGAAGAAGAAGAAAAGGAAAGGAATTCTGAGATTTTAGTAAAACTGTATCGTCTTCTTTACATTCTTTTTTTTTTTTTTTTTTTTGAGACAGAGTCTCGCTCTGTCACCCAGGCTGGAGTGCAGTGGAGTGATCTTGGCTCACTGAAAGCTCTGCCTCCTGAGTTCACTCCTTTCTCCTGCCTCAGCCTCCTGAGTAGCTGTGACTACAGGCACCACCACGCCTAGCTAATTTTTTGTATTTTTAGTAGAGACAGGGTTTCACCATGTTAGCCAGGATGGTCTCGATCTCCTGACCTCGTGATCTGCCCGCCTCAGCCTCCCAAAGTACTGGGATTACAGGCGTGAGCCACTGCGCCTGGCCTACATTCTCTTTTTATATTAAGAAAAATGATCCTCAGAAAACACACTATATTATTTCAGAAATTCAAATAATAACTTTGCATATAAATATTTCATTTATGTTGTTTACGTAATGTAAGAGGACATGGTACTTACCATTTTCAAATTAAGGACTATGTTAAAAATTGGGATATTTCTTAGATCTCATATCAGAAAGTTCAATGTAGTTTAACCTTACAAGGGAAATTCAAGACTTAAATTTCTGTTTACAAGTTTATAAAAATTAGTTTCAGATAGTCATCTTTTTCATGGTATCATGACAATCCATTTATTCTAATTTAATTTATTGTACTTTGCTGGAATGTCGCACATCTTCTTTTTGTTAGCGTCCATTGTTCTTATTTGCCAAACTAAAAATGGCTAAAGATAGAATTTTTGCTCAGTTGCTACTCTTCCTAACAACATTGTATATTTGTTGTTTTAATTTGCTTGACTCTTAAAATATACATATATGTAATATATATGTATTTTATGTATAAACAGAATCTTGCCAAGTTATTATTTTTTAACGTTCCTTTAATCTCTAGAAATTGGAGAAAATTCTTTGCACTTTATGTAATTGAGAAAATTCAACAGTAAATTTGGGAGAATTACTACTCTCTATCTTATCTAGGGCTGAAATTGCTTCTCTCTCACTCTCTCTGAGGTCACTTCGCATCCCAGAGCAAAAGCCTATTCTGGCCTTGTTGTGTCAGTCTCATAGTGATCACACTCTCTCAACTTTCTTCCCTTTCTTGCTCAAGACTTTTAGGAAGTTTTGAAAATTTAATCAATTTCATCCTGCATGCAATATATTTCTCAATCAATATTAACAAATACTAAGTTTGCTCTCGGAATGCAAACCCGTAAGATCTATCTGACTGTTCAAAATAGGCACTGGCTGGAGAAGGCATTATCTAATGGGAATTACCTTTAACCCCAAGAGACAGATTTTGGGTTGTGCCCTCAGTGATATAAGGTGATATAAGGCAAGATTTCTCAAGGTGGGTACGCAGCATTCCCTTCCAATAGAATGTTAATAGGTGCCATGTAGAAAAGGAAATATTCTCAGTGTGTGTGTGTGTGTGTGTGTGTGTGTGTGTAAAGAGATGGTTTGAAAAAGGAAAGTGAGTACCTTTACTACAAGGATCTTGGAGTCTTTAATACATTAATGTGCAGCATCAGTCTGCAAAACGTATTGAACTGTATGGAAAGTCCAAGTTTTATATATTTAACATAAGCCCCACTCCTATGAGTCAGTGTAAAGACAACTGTCTTCATGCTGAAGGGTGCCGTATGGACCTGTCCACATTATCTAAGAGCATAGTCTCTATCCTCTGTCTTCCTCCTATAAAGTCTATAAAGCCTCCTCTGAGATGTTTACCATTAGGTGGTGAGCAGTAATCCTGAATAAGATGAGTTATTCCAAGAATGGTTTTTCCCATCTGAAAGGGCATAGTATAGGCAGGTTGAAGGAACTCCAACAAGAAAGTGACTCCTTTTACTTTCTTTCTCTACACAGACAGGTGTGATTACCTCTGATATTTGGTTCTGGACTCTATTTGGCCCAATCTAGCTTACTCAAGTTTTTCATTAGGATTTCAGAAAACACTCTAGCTAATAACAATTTACTAGTTTGTCTCCTTCCTGCGTATATCTATCTTAGAGGTTTGTGAGTAAAACGTGTTTAGAATGAGGGCAGAATTAAAATATTGTGGGTACCACTGGCTAAATGTGTCTTAACATTATTTTAGATCACAACTTAAATACATTCTTTATTCAACATTTAACAGAATATAACAATTCTAAATTAGCCTAATTACATTTTTTTGTTTTAAATTTGAACCTGTGTAATTTAGTAAGGTTGAAATACTGGCTCTACTACTTAGTAGCTAGATGGTCTTCATTTACATTTCTAATCTCTTTGAGCCTCAATTTCCTAGAATATAAGTGGGGATAATTAATATCTACCTCATAGTATTATTTCAAGTAATGATTAAAATGATACATGTAAAGTTTGTGAAAGAAAAATAGAATCTCAGGACCCCAAACTAACTAAGCCAAAGAGAAGGTTAAGCTTGGGAACTGAGTCATGCAAAAACTGACTTTCTTTTGTACTGAAACAGATAGCTTTAATTTCACATGCTTACTTTATCTCATGTAAAATGTAGATTTATTGGGCAAAACAAATGAATCCCCCCACTCTCTTCTTCTCGCATGTAAAATGTAGATTTGCTGAGCACTAATCAGAGCCTCACAGGAATGTAATTACTTACATCATTGCCTACCCACCCTCCTTTTTTTTTCCTTCCCCTCCTACTTACTCTTTCTTCTTTAAATATTGAAGTTCCCAACACCCTCATTGGAAAAAGCACAGGTCACAGATCCTACTGTGACTTGTGTTTCTTTTTGTCAGATGCATCCTCAGCCTTGGTAAAAATAAACCTTTAATCAATTGAGATGTGCCTCAGTCCCTTTTTGCTTTACAAGTTTTTAAGAGAACAGACAGCATAAGTGATAGGTAAATTATAATAGCTACAAATCTGCCCACTTATAATTGCCTCACCATGCAGCAGCCAGCTCAAATTAGATCGTGTTCTGTTTAATACCATCCACTAGTTCCTAACCACCCTTAGAATAGATTTCAAAGTTCCACATATGCAGTTGCCATATCTTACTTTACTGCCTCACTTTTGTGCTACTTTTCCTGTTTCTTTATTTCTCTGGTCACAGTGACTCTTAATATATTTCTTTCACACACCAAGCTTGCTTCTGCCTCAAGGTATTTGTACTTGCTCTTATTATTTCCCAAAATTCTCATCTGTAAGATTTTCATTTGGTTGAAATCTCCTGTCACTTCCATCTCTGTAGAAATCATCTCTCCTGAACATCTAAATACCCCCATTGCTTTATCTCTTCATGATATTTCCCATTAGTACATGTTTCTTTGTTTACTTGTTTGTTGCCTGTCTTCACCATAAGAATGTCATTTCTGTGGGTATAGAGGCCCACCATTCTGTTGTTTTCTGCACTGTATTCACAGTGCTTAGAATAGGGTTTGTGACATGGTAAATGCTCAGTCAATTTTTGTTCAATAAAATAAATGGTGTAGACTGTGGTCATTTAAGTGATTCTTTTGTGGGTTTGGCCAACAGTAGAAGTTGTGAATATTCTGGTATCTGGCGCCAGAGAGAAGTGCCTAGGAAATAGCTGAGAGAGTGAGTCTTTAGTCAGCAATCTTAGCCCTTCATTCTTCTAATCAGTCTTACCTTTGACAATCCATGTTCTGATTCAGAAAGGGAAGATGACAAAGTTAGGACATGATACATATATGACTCACCAGTATATATTCATGGCTAGCAGCATCAGGAGATCATAAAACCACGGTCACACTCTTTTTTTTTTTAAATTATTATTATACTTTAAGTTTTAGGGTACATGTGCACAATGTGCAGGTTAGTTACATATGTATACATGTGCCATGCTGGTGTGCTGCACCCATTAACTCGTCATTTAGCATTAGGTATATCTCCCAAAGCTATCCCTCCCCCCTTCCCCCCACCCCACAACAGTCCCCAGAGTGTGGTGTTCCCCTTCCTGTGTCCATGTGTTCTCATTGTTCAATTCCCACCTATGAGTGAGAATATGTGGTGTTTGGTTTTTTGTTCTTGCGATAGTTTACTGAGAATGATGATTTCCAATTTCATCCATGTCCCTACAAAGGACATGAACTCATCATTTTTTATGGCTGCATAGTATTCCATGGTGTATATGTGCCACATTTTCTTAATGCAGTCTATCATTGCTGGACATTTGGCTTGGTTGCAAGTCTCTGCTATTGTGAATAGTGCCGCAATAAACATACGTGTGCATGTGTCTTTATAGCAGCATGATTTGTAGTCATTTGGGTATATACCCAGTAATGGGATGGCTGGGTCAAATGGTATTTCTAGTTCTAGATCCCTGAGGAATCGTCACACTGACTTCCACAATGGTTGAACTAGTTTACAGTCCCACCAACAGTGTAAAAGTGTTCCTAGTTCTCCACATCCTCTCAGCACCTGTTGTTTCCTGACTTTTGAATGATCGCCATTCTAACTGGTGTGAGATGGTATCTCATTGTGGTTTTGATTTGCATTTCTCTGATAGCCAGTGATGGTGAGCATTTTTTCATGTGTTTTTTGGCTGCATAAATGTCTTCTTTTGAGAAGTGTCTGTTCATGTCCTTCGCCCACCTTTTGATGGGGTTGTTTGTTTTTTTCTTGTAAATTTGTTTGAGTTCATTGTAGATTCTGGATATTAGCCCTTTATCAGATGAGTAGGTTGCGAAAATTTTCTCCCATTTTGTATGTTGCCTGTTCACTCTGATGGTAGTTTCTTTTGCTGTGCAGAAGCTCTTTAGCTTAATTAGATCCCATTTGTCAATTTTGGCTTTTGTTGCCGTTGCTTTTGGTGTTTTAGACGTGAAGTCCTTGCCCATGCCTATGTCCTGAATGGTAATGCCTAGGTTTTCTTCTAGGGTTTTTATGGTTTTAGGTCTAACATTTAAGTCTTTAATCCATCTTGAATTCATTTTTGTATAAGGTGTAAGGAAGGGATCCAGTTTCAGCTTTCTGCATATGGCTAGCCAGTTTTCCCAGCACCATTTATTAAATAGAGAATCCTTTCCTCATTGCTTGTTTTTCTCAGGTTTGTCAAAGATCAGATAGTTGTAGACAAGCAGCATTATTTCTGAGGGCTCTGTTCTGTTCCATTGATCTATATCTCTGTTTTGGTAGCAGTACCATGCTGTTTTGGTTACTGTAGCCTTGTAGTATAGTTTGAAGTCAGGTAGCGTGATGCACTCTTAAGGACTGTATTTGCACAAACCTGGAAACATTCATCAGAGGGAGACTCTTGGGACTTAATCAAAGATACACATGGGATAAAGGTTTCAAGAATTTCTGCCTGTAGGACAGACTTAGATATCAAAAATACTCCAGGGCATCTACCCCCTAGCTTTGGTTTCTAATATTATTCTCCAATTAAAGGTTCTAGGGTTGCTTAAAGAAATGGCAGAGTCTAGGGCTGAGGCAGAGAATATACAAGATGGGCTGGAGCATCTCGTAGCATGCAAAAGTAAGAAAATGTTCAAATAACAAAAATATCTCACAATGATGGAGATATGTCAAAGGTACACAGGAGCCAACTGAAAAGAATTCTCAAGGGTCAGAGAACAATTTGAGCAACAAAATAAAGTATTATTGGATTATAATACAAATGAATTCATACTAATATAAAGAGATAATTGAATAAATAAATGAATGGGGCAGAAGAGACAAATCTCCCTTGCAGAATAATTCCAAATAATTTATGTAGCTATTTTACTCTCAAAGAGGTGGAACATAAGTCTCATTCCTTAACAGTGGGATATTTAGGGTGACTTCCTTTGAAAGAGTATGGTATGGAAAGGGAAAGAAAAGAATGTCTTTACACTGGAGAAACCTGACACTTGACCAGGTGATCAAGATAAACATCAGCAGTGGTAAATCACATTATAGTGTATACCACTGACATGATGTGATAAAAATGACACTCTGCCTCTGTGGACTCCCTTCCTTCCCAAAACCCATAACTCCAGTCTGATGATGAGAAAAACATGAGGCAAATACCAACTGATAGACATTCTACAAAATACCTGATTGGTACTCATCAAAACTGTTAAGGTTATTAGAAATAAGAACAGTCTAAGAAACTGTCTCAGTTAAGAAGAGCCTGGTAAGATAAGGTGACTAAAAGTACAGTTGAAACCTGGGTGAGATCTTGAAACAGAAACAGGACACTAGACAAAAACCAAATAAATCTAAATAAAGTATGAACTTCAGTCAATTATTTATCAATGTTGGTTTATTAGTTGTTATAAATATACCATACTAATGTAAATTATTAACAAGAGGAGAGATCGTGTGTTGATAATACAGAATTTTTGCTTCTTAGTGCAGCTAAATCCTGGTTCTTGTGTCACAACCAGGAAAAATTAGGCACACACACACACTGAAGGGTAAGCAGAAGAGAATTTATTGGGTGAAAAGGAAAAGAGAAAGAAAGCACTCAGCAAAGCGAGAGGGAGTCCTGCCAACGGGTTCTCAACACCTGACACTTTGAATACCAGGCCACCACACACGCGCCGAAGAGGCCAGGTTCCTCTCCCTTGCACAAGGTGTGATCCTCCCATGGCTCCACTCCATCATCCCAGTGCACAGGCAGGTCCCCAATCCATGATGGACATGTGCATACAAGACTCTGGGTGGTTCCCTCATCTGCACAAATGGATCTGATGTGAACACTTGTGGGGCGGGTCAGCGATTCTCCGTGTACCCCCCTTATCTGCCTCCTGCATCTATCATTGGGTATATATTGTCTTTGCAAACTGTCTTTGCATCTATCATTGAATGTCTGTGTTGTCTTTGCAACTGTTCTGTTAAGATAAAACTATACTAAAATTAACAAGTTAGTTAAAAAGAAAACTTCAGGACAACCATCCACACTAGACTACATAGATAGACAAATGATGAGTTTGCTGAGAGTGAAGATTTAAATACACTTCAGACATATTTATTGCAAATGTTAAATAAATATATCTGAAGTGTATTTAAGTGTATTTAAATGTATTTATGTTTTAGGTGTAGAAAAATGCTTAATATATAAATAAATAAATTGATTAAAAAGGTAATATTTTATTGTTGCCTGGCTTACTAATTTTAAAAATTACTTTTTACTATTTTTATACTTTTGAGAGGAGAACATATAAAAAAGAAGTTGGGCTTATTAATTCCATATCAAACAGAGGAGCAAATCCCTATGTAATATTTCATTTTAGTTAAATTTAAAACAAAATAATAATAGCATAGTTTTTGTGATTATTTCCATCATAAATCAAAAGCTTTTTAGAGACATTATCTCATTCCTTTCAACATCATTTTTTAGATTAAGGCTGAAAAAATGTCAGGCACATCTTTTTTATGTAAAGGATAGTACTTTAATAGTTCAGGCTATGACTAACATTGTTCAATTTAGTCATTTCTAAGCCTGAATTGACCAACTTCCTTTGGGATGTATAACTATTTTTAGCCCAGGGCAGATATTTATATAAAATTCCCCAAGGAAACCATCTAGTCTTGTCTCTGTTCCCAGAATCCTGATTAAAACACAACAAAACAAAACAAAAAAACAAAAAAAAACTCATGAAAATAATATTAAAGAGCAGGAACTTACCTAATGTAAAGTTTACCATATTTAAAGGGGCTTTTTTCAAAATAGGTAAAACTTCAAAAAATGATAATCATATATTGGTAAGATATTGTGAAATTGATATTCTTCTACATTACTGGTGATAATGTTGATTAATTTTTTTTGAAAGAAAACTAGAAAGTATGTATCATTCCTCCTCAAATAATCTTATATATTAAAATGTATCATAAGAATAAAAAATGTTTTAAAATGAAAAAACCTCAGTGCCTGCAAATGAGATTTAATATAGCATATCTTTTGATATTTTAAAAGAAAACTAAAAAAAATCAAACTATAACATGTTCAAGAGTAAAGGACTGGATAAGAAAATAATATTATGACATTGAAAAGATTTATGTGGTCATTAAACTACTTGCAAAGAATATGAAACAACACAATAATGCCTTCATTAAAAATCACTATAAAAGTGTATAGTAAGAAAATTAAGCTTAATATTGATTATTCTAAATAATTACATGTCTAATTTTGACAACTATATTTTTCTGAAGCTCAATTGATCTGTATATTGTATAAAGCAGACTTATATATGTCATATAATAACATTCAATTTGGTGAGCATATGGAAAGCCATGTTACCCTAAATTGACCATTCTTGAAAGTATCATGAAGGCTCTTCTAGGGTTGTAATGATTAACCAAAAACAAGACATTACATTTCTTTTCAGGCACAAGCCAAATGACTCATGCACCACAGAGTAAAATTTGAGGAACTCAAGCAATTATTCATGTGTCAAATTGGACACACACTCACATACACATACAAAAGTCTTGAAAAAGAAAACCTAGCTTTGCTTTCAGACATTCTATTAGCTACAGACTTATAAGACCAGATTAAACTTTTTAATTTTCCCTGAACGTTTATAAACTCATCTCCTACCTGTCTGGTTCCTAAAGCTAATGCTCTGTCATTAAGCCAACAAAACAAGATTAGTGTATGATATGGTTTGGCTGTGTCCCCACCCAAATCTCAACTTGAATTGCATCTCCCAGAATTCCCCTTGTGTTGTAGGAGGGACCCAGGGGATGGTAATTGAATCATGGGGGCTGGTCTTTCCTGTGCTATTCTCACGATAGTGAATAAGTCTCACGAGATCTGATGGGTTTATCATGGGTTTCTGCTTTTGCTTCTTCCTCATTTTTCTCTTGCCGCCACTGTGTAAGAAGTGCCTTTCACCTCCTGCCATGATTCTGAGGCTTCCCCAGCCAGGTGGAACTGTCTAATTAAATCTCTCTTTCTTCCCAATCTGAGGTATGTCTTTATCAGCAGCCTGAAAACAGACTAATACAGTATCATAGCCAGGATTTTGGTCCAGATGACCTTTATCTCCCAGTATTATACTTGTGAATGTGTTACCTTACCTGACAAGGGGATTTTGCATATGGAATTAAGGCTGCTTATCAGCTGATTTTAAATTAGGGACATTATCCTGAGCTGTCAGTAGGACCCCAGTGTAATCACATGTGCCTTTATAAATGGCAGTGGTTTACATACATTTTAAAAATTTATTCCTTACAATAATTATTTAAAGGAGAAAATATTGTATGCTAGATGTCTTCCATTTGTTCCTCCAGACCCACTTTCCATCCTTCTCCTTTCTGAGGAGGAGGTGGTTAGAAAAAAAAGAAGAAGACAACAAAAGAGTAGATGAGAGAGATGTGGCAAAAGAAGAGGCAGAAGAGAAGAGGCAAGAGAAGGATTCTCCCACCCATTGCTGTCTTTAGAGATGCAGGCTATGAGCCAAAAAGCACAGATAGCTCCGGAAGCTGAGGACAAGCCACACTGCCCACACTCCCGCAACTGCCCAGAACTGAATTTTGCCAATTACCTGCATAAATCAGAAAATGGATGCTCACTAGAGTCTCCAGAAGGGAGCCTGGCTTGCTGACACCTAGATTTTTGTCTTGTGAGACTGATCAGAGGAATTATCCCAGCACACTTGACTTCTGAAATTGTGATATATCTATGCCTGCAGAAACCCATGACATGCAGAAACTATGAGTTAATAAATGAATGTTGTTTTAAGCCATCAAGTGTGTGGTAATTTGTCACAGCAGCCCTAGAAAACGAATAGACTCTCTAACTAACATTGGTGTTTCAAATTTACCATAGGCACTGTGTATATAATCTCCCTCATACACATGTTTCCATTGATATTCAACAAAGAAGAAAAAGAAAAGGGAGGGGGAGAAAGTGAAGGGTCGTGGAAAGCAGTAGCTCAAGAAAAGGAAGAAGGAGAACTAACAAGAGGAAGAATAAGAGGAGAAAGGAAGAAAAAAATACCATTTTACAAAAAAGAGAATGCAAAGCAACTCACAGACATTTAGTTGTAAGCTATTGCTTAATTACCAAATCAAGATTTTTTTACTTCAGCTACTGAATCCAGGTGAAAGAAACTATCTCTGTTCTATTTATAACATGAAAGAGTTCTAAAGCACATATGTTTAACAAATTGCATTTGCACTTTATCATCTCAACACTCTTTCACTAGAATGAACAGATAAGCCCACTTCCTCCAAAATAACTGGTGTGGGATTGTACCTATGGTGCACCCATCTTATACTCTTTGTGTTTAAAGGACTAGATCATAGGTTGTCTATGAAGGGAAATGCTAATATCATGTTTGCTAAGGTTTACACCAGCCAAAGTGCATTGAATTCTAATCTTAGAGTCAATTAGAAGCACAATTATCACATCTCCCCTTCTTTCTTCCCACAGAAATATCTTCATTACCAACACAGTGCTTGGCCAGCAGGGCAGTGGTTAAGACTAAACACCCAACCCTCAAAATCCCAGGTTATATTTAAGCACATTTTCATGTATTAAAATGAAACAGTCTATCCTGGGATTGGCTCAGAAGCAAGTTAATTCTTGTTAATGGATTTTTTGTTGTTGTTGTTCTAGAGGAAAATCCCCTTAAAAGCTCCCCTGGTGTGGCTTTCTATTGGAGCTGGCCTGAAGACAGAAATTTCCTAGAATGAGAAGGTTTTTTGCACTAGGGAAATGTTTAAACATAGCCATTGATTCTGCTGGCCAAATACATAACAGAGATCAACATTGCAAGAAGTACTGGAGCTTAATAATATCGAACACTTTCCCATACTGAGGGTTATTCATACTAAATATTAGTCTGGAAGTCTATTCTGATGCTGTCCCTATCCACTCTTAACTCTCCACATTTCCTCCTCATACATGTAATTTTTTCCAGGTGTACAACAAAAGCCCCTTTCCTTCAACAAACAGCCTGCAGATAATTGTGTTTTTCCTCATGTACAGAGGAAAAAGGGCATACATACAACACAGCACAAAATAGATCCAAATACATAGCCTCATAGAAAAACTAGAAAAATAATACCTGTGGAAGTTTACTCAAGCACCAACCTTTCTCTCTTTTTGCTTTCTAAGAAGGATCATCCACTGTCAATGGTAACTCTGAGACTCTTAGGATGAAGCTTGGCTAGCTAAGTTTCTACCACCATCCCTACCCAACCAATTGTGAGTGAAGAATTTATTAACCTGAATAACGATGGTCCACTATACTAGTGTACACTCAAAACTGTTTATGATGACTCCAGTGAAACTAAAATTTTAACATAGGCAGGTAGATACAACATGCATTTGCTCTCCAGCCTGGGAGAGGTGGGGTGGAATGTTTTATATGGATGCTATATGTCTATTTCATGTTATTTTTTAAGGTTCACTCATAAATCATTTTCAGAGACACATGCACATATATAGACATACACACTGAATTCTTCATTCACAAGATTCATATGAAATTTTATTCTATAATAAAGCTACTTCTCTTATACTACTACTGGCATTTTACCTCTATGTTTCTCATCCATCAATGCTATGAAAATTATATAATGAGATATACCCTACTGTTGCCTAAAGCATATGTGCAAATTAATCATTTTCATTTTTGTACATAGAGAGAATATAGAGAATTCAAGATCAACTGGAAAAAGGTACTTTCAAGTGGAGGTTCTATTTGACCCCAATAATAACATTAATTTTTTCATGTGTTGCCAACAATGTGATCCCTTAGCCTCTTAAATTATATGAATCATGTCGCATTATTAACATTATTTCAAAATCAATGTAATTTAATGCCATGTAATTTGTATATTTGTGAGTTAAGAGGTGCAGGGCATCCATTTCTCCTTTACTAGATTAAAAAAGTGGGAGAGGATTACACCAATAACTGTTTGATTTGTTCAATCATAGGGTAAAAGTAAATCAGAATGAAGTGATGAAGATCAGCAGTACACAGATTGGATAATTCAGTAATTCTAATGCAGATATCTTTTATCAAAGGTAGTCTTTTCTTTTATTTTTTCAGAATGTAAGCATAAATATTGTCTGCTTTGCAATGAGATGCAATGATAGCATAGAGTTGCCAAGAGGCTCGAGCTGTTCTGTCCTCATCGACATGAATGGGTCTTGCCTGAATGTTTAGAGGAAGAGATAAGATGCAAGCAACTGTTTTCCCCCTGGTACCCTTGACTTACAACTACAGCTATTCCAAAAGTTTTTGTTTTTCCTTTAGGCTATGAGAAGTTTAAGTCTCTGTTTGAAATATATTACAAATAGGAAACAGAACACTTTATAACAAAAAATGTGGAGGAGAGTAGTAGAGGTGAAAAAATAAAAAAAGGTTTCCTACAGTTCTTGGTTGCCCTATTAATATGCTTATTGATCACATTGAGGGTCTTCTAAGAATGGACAGCTTTGAAAATAGCTATAACAACTGTACAAGTCACTCCATCTATCAATATTTGACTTCTGCATAATAAACCATTCATTGGCATTTGACAGATATTTATGATTTTCAAGTGAAGCACTGTTGTTTATTTTGATTTTGATTTATAATTTGAAATAATCTTCCCAGAAGAATATTAAATATTGTGCTTGACACATTAGTTGAAGTTGTGTCATCATCTATTACTAAAATATACCGACATAAAATATTAGATGGTTTTCTGTCAGCCTAAAATATTTCTGACAGTGAATCTTAAATAGATCATTAATGTTCATACTTCTGTTGCATGCTGAAAGATTCAGCTGATGATTGAAGGGCCTTTTCAACTTTCAGAGTTGTACTGAGTTTTACAGATCATAGAATAACATAGCTGGAGCAATCTTAGTTATTCTTTAGTTTTAGAACAGCTAAAAGTTTAAAGAGGTTAAGTGATTGTTAACAACCTACAGGTGAAATTTGTATTAAGTAAAATAGCCCTTTAGTTATAAAAACTAAATAAAAATTCAACATATCAGAAAATATGCAGAAAACGTTTCTAGTCTTGTGCATGGTATTATGTCTGATCCTTTCAAATGGGTTAGTACTTTAGATATTGAAGAAATTAGAGAAGCATGTTTTATCACAACGCCAGAATGTGGTATCATTAGGTGGTTCAAACACTTTTAAACTCTATTCCTAGGACAGGTTAGTACCATTTGGATAACTAATGTTTGATTCTGTCAATAGTGAAAAGTCAGTGAAATGTTCTAATAAAGTTTTTTTTTTAAATTTTATTTATTTTTTTGAGACAGAGTTTTGCTCTGTCGCCCAGGCTGGAGTGTGGTAGTGCAATTTGGGCTCACTGCAGCCTCCACATCCCGGGCTCAAGTGATTCTCCTGCCTCATCCTCCCAGAGTAGCTGGGATTACAGGCATGAGCCACCACACCCAGCTAATTTTTGTATTTTTAGGAGGGACAGGGTTTTCGCCAGGCTGGTCTCGAACTCCTAACCTCAAGCGATCCGCCCGCCCTAGCCTCCCACAGTGCTGTGATTACAGGCATGAGCCACCATGCCTGGCCCTAATAAAGTTTAGATAGTTGGATTTTGATAAATATTCATTCATCCAGTTTAACAAAATGTCATACAAACAGTATGCATATTAATATGTTTTGTTATGATGATGAAACTGTGCAAATGGAAAAAGCCCATACCACACAAATGGGAATTCATTTGCCTTCCAGCAATTTATTTTCACTTCCCGGCCTCCAAATTAATAGTAACTATAATAAAATGTGTTTGGAAAGGAGGTTTGATCATTATATTTCTCCTTTTCCAGACTATGCAAACTAATAAATCATAATTAACACTAGGGATATTTTAAGCAGGATCCATTTTACCATTATTTTTATAATATATAATTGCAGCTACAAATGTATGCTCCTGAATAGCTACTTAAATTTTTTTTTCAGAGAAACACATTTGTTTAAAATTGTAAAAATTTATAAGAGAGGGAGATTAGGGAACTTCTAACCTTTATAAACATACTCTTCATTCTTACTCACATGGTTCATTTCTTAAATATGGTAAACATTCTACTTTCAAAACAGCACATAATTTCTCCTTACCTATCCATAATGTCATTTAGTTGATCAGAAGATGCATTTTATTATCATTTTGTCACTAACTTAAAGAGTTGATGCATATTCCTACACTGTACAAATTGCTATATTCCCACTTAAGAAAATAAGATATATACAATTGTGATACATGTTAGGTAATAAGTTTCAGTGTTAATGAATGCCACCTTATTGGTGCTAGCTACATTTCACTCATTACGACAGATAATATAAATGGACCTTAAGCATAATGGTTCGTACAGAAAGTTAAGAATTCAAATTAACTGAGCCCTCTGTAGTATTAAACACCTACTTTGAACTTCAAACCAAGAAGATCAAAAGGTGTAATTTTCAACTTCAGATTGCAATTAAAAAGGTCAATTCAGCATGTATATTTGTTATCTCTAGTTCAATATGATGAATTTAAGAGACAGCCTATGATTTTCATAAAGGTCACTGGAGTTGGAAATGCCAAATCTCATTAGTCTTAATCAGCTGATATAAAAGTTACCTATCTGCCTTTATGCTTAATGCAAGATTACTCAATTTCTTCATTAAATGAATCTTTTAAAACTCCATGCTTCCTGAAATGTGTTTTGTTCTAGGAAGATAACTTTTTAAAAACTATTGCATTGTATGTTTAATTTAAAGTTAAAAATATTTCTGTTCTGCCAGCTTAAACACTGTCTTATTTGAGCTACTTTCTCCATACATTTGATTATAACTAGAAGGTTAAAAGTTTGTATGAATAAATGTATGCAAAGAACATAGCACGTCTCAAGTTTTTACAAGGAATTCATTTTTTTTTTAAATTCATGAACTTAAACAGAAAGTTGAACATTTGTGCATATGGTCACACTGCAGAGGGTAATTGGGACCAGCTGTTACACTTTGTAGTTTCTGAAAGCCTGTGTATTGCCTTCTAGCTACACTGACTTTGTGCAGGCCTTAATAAAAGAAATTAAAGAATGTGCAAGCCTGAATGACTTCCACGTCCCTCTTCAGAAGAGCGTTAATTCAGACAAGACATAGGAGGCATAGCTTTTCCATTGCCATTCATCTATGACCCACATGCAGAAGAAATGATTTTTCATGGGCATTATTTAGTGACTTGCAAACTTTAATCACTCTGCTTGTTTCATTTAAATCTATCTTCTTATAGTAAAGTATCTTAACCATGTCAGAGTCAACAGTTTGTAAACACACACAAACACGAACACACACAAACACACACACAACAACATTTAGCATCTCACTTTTCATATCCTTGCTTAAAATATTTCCAGGTGTAAGATATGATAAAATAGCACATATTGCATTAGACAGAAATTTATATTTAAGGGAAGCATGATAGAATTGTGATATTCAAAATTCTTCTTTCAAAATGTCAGTGTACATCAGTATTTAGTTATAATGAAAAAATAAATAATTGTTCAGGCAAGGATTTTTGGAAGATGGTGGCAGCAACTTTAAAAAATCTTACTGAATACCCACTGTGGTAGATAAAACAAAGACCCCCCACAGATGTTTATAACCGAATCCTTAAAACCTGTGAATATGTTAAATTATGTGGCAAAGGGAATTTTGCAGATATGATTAAATTAAAGATATTGAGATGGGGGATTATCCTGGATTATCCAGTGGGCTCAATATAATCACGAGGAAAGAGAGAGACAGAAGTGTCAGAGTCAAAGTAAACTACGAAGACACTATGCTACTGCCTTTGAAGGATGAAGAAAAAGTCCAGGAGGTCAGGAACTCTGGCAGCCTGGCAACTGGAAAAGGCAATACCCATAAGCAATACAGCTTTGCAGACACCTTGGTTTTATCCCAGTGAGACTGATGCTGGACTTCTGATCTCCAGATCTCTAAGACAATAAAGTGTTGTTTCAAGTGGCTGAATTTGTTGTAAATTGTTACGGCAGCCATAGGAAACTAATATAACGGTAGAAAACTCAACCGTAAAATCAAAATCACTGGGCAACATTTACAACAAAATTAGGCCACAAGATACGCCTAGGAGCACCAAAATCTTGACTGGAATAAACAAATCCTACAAAGTACTTGCAACTATGTGGGAAGCAAAAAACAGAATCAACAGAGTAGCGTCCAAGGCACCAGAAAAGACGAAGACATAAAACTTGGAAGTGTGCAGGGATGAAACTAGGATGGAAGGGGGCAGCGCTTTACAGCAGGTGAGTGCAGGGGGCTGACAGTAAGAATGACCGAAGGGGCGGGAGAAGCTCCACCTCTATGAACCCTAAAGAGTGACCTATCAGGATTCCTTTCTAAGAAACGGACAATGCTGTGAGCAAAATCAAAATGGAACAAGACACGAATATCAGAAAAAAAGGTGAAATGTTCCATCAAAATGTTGGAGCCCTCAGAGCCAGGAAATCACAGAAAACAAGCTGTCATGTAATTTTATGTCACCATGAGAGAGCAAGAGAGAGAGAGAGAACAGAACCCCTGTGAAGTTAGAATGTTTCCTAATTCTAAACTTCCAAGAAAATCTTACACAAAAATAAACAAGAGAAAAGTTTGAGGTCAAACCCTATACAAAATTACAGAAAGAAAGAAGAGAATAAGATCCCTACTGACAATTACAGCGTACTCTTAAGATGTACTCAATAAAGCAGATCAAAATATCAAAAGTTATTAAGAAAATAATGATAAAAACTAACCAGCATAAGAATAGTTGGGGTCCCTAAGAAGACAACTAAAATGGGAGAACAGGCTAACCACAAAAAGTAATTAATCCACGTAAACATTACAGAACAATAAACTTTCCCTGAAATGAAAGATTTTAATCTACATGTTGAGGAAGCACACTAGACCCCAACATCAAGACATAGTCTCATAAAATTATTGGTCTTTCTAAAAAAGAAAAAATATTTGGGGCCTTAAAAATATAAATGTACAATTTATCATTAGGCATTCTTTTTTTTTCTTTTTCTTTTTTTTTTTTTTTTGAGACAGTCGTGCTCTGTGGCCCAGGCTGGAGTGTAGTGGTGCTATCTCGGCTCACTGCAACCTCCGTCTCCCCAGCTCAAGTGATTCTCCTGCCTCAGTCTCCCCAGTAGCTGGGATTACAGGCACGTGCCACCATGCCATGCTAATTTTTGTATTTTTAGTAGAGACAGAGTTTCACCATGTTGGCCAGGCTGATCTCAAACTCCTGACCTCAGGAGATCCGCCCCCCTTGGCCTCCCAAAGTGCTGGGATTACAGGCTTGAGCCACCGTGCCCAGACCTATCATTAGACGTTTTAACAACAGTGGTTTATGCTGAATAAAATGAGAAATTTATTAAAGAAAACCAAGGAAAGAAAGTGAGCAAATAATTTTATATTCAGAAAAAGCGACTTTTGAGTATTAAGAACACAGAAAAACTGTTGTTATTAATAACATGAAAGAATTAGAGAATGTTGTTCCTTGAGGACTTCCTAAGTGATTGACGAGAACATATACTTTATATAACCAAAACAACTAGAGAGACATCAATACATAAATGAGCGCAAAGATCTGAAATGAAAACTAAATGCGGTTTAAGAAGTAGTGAGCATAGTAGGCCCTGGTCATGTACTCTTTTAAATATAGGATAATTGTTTTTAAATGACGGAAGAACAGGGAAAATAAATGCAAAAGTTATTCATGTTTTTATAATTATATTAATAATAGCATTAATGTGATTATTTTGCAACTGGCATGTGTAATATAGGCTTAAAACAAGCAAGCAGTTATGTGTATCCTTGAGAACCAGGATTCTTGCTATGAAAGGAAGGATGCTTAGATGTCATTGAGAAGAGGTAAAATAAAGGCTCTGTAGTCCTGATTTTGAATTGGAATCAATATGATCTCATAAGGTTTGTTATCTTTGCATACAAGTGCAGTTGTTTCCTTGCTCAGTCCACTGAAAGGGCCTAGAAACCATGATCAAATCATTAACAGTAAATATCTCTTGTATCTGGTTCAAAGATCTTATGTAACATTCCCACTAAAATAAAACAGTGTTTCCTGAAAAAGAAATGGCTAATTCCAGTTCTGGAGCAGGACATGTTCAATATGAGCCACATCTTATACCAGATAACAAAAAAATTGTCAAAGATTTAACAGGGTTATGCCAAAGGAACTCAGGTGCCAACTTCAAGAGGTTTCCATTGGCTGCGGATGGAGTAATTTGAGCTTAAATGTTGATAACAACTGCAAAGGACTTAAACCCATCAAACATGTGTAAAGCCATGTGTTCATAATTTTATTTTAAAACAAACCAGTCCCCTTTAGATTCATTTAAAAAAATAAACATTCACACTGCCTTCCCATATCAACCACTGGATTACCACATAATTGATGCTGGAATGTGTCTCTGTATAACAACATCTCAGATAATAATAAAAAAGAGAAGTGATAGCATTAGAATACTTTCATATTGCAACTGCCAATGAATTAATAGATACAAGTAGTAGCATTAATGGCTACTAAAATCACAAAAAGATAGACAACCAGATAGCATTTTTTAATAGATCTTTCCAGATACTATCTATAATCATCTATAACCATGTCAAAGGGATGAAAATCTCTAAATCCAGCAGCCATTTAGCAGAATGTAAAGAGAAAAATGACCACATCGAACTGAACCATGAGTATGCAATCAACAAAGCTCACTTTCTTCAGTGGATAAATTACCAGGAAAATAAAGGGTTTGAGGTATTACTTATAAACTAAGACATGTTGCTATAGTCTTATAAATGTATAAACTAATAAGATTTGCTAAATATAACCACTGTAAAGTTAATTCTTACTACATACCTGATGCCGTACTAAAGTTTTAGACTTTACTTTGATCCTCACAATTTTTTGAATTAAGTGCATTTTTACCAGTTTACAGTGAAGAAAGCTTAGATACATAAAGTGTATGCATTTAGTCAAGGTCAGAATGCCCACAGATCATGATTCTAAGATTTTAATCTTCACCAATTGAAATAAAAGCCTATAGTTTTAATACTATAGTATATTTAGTGTTATACATTATATATTATACAATTATAATAATTCTTTTCTGTAAGAAATTGGAAATATGATGCATGCATATAGAAATTTAAACCACATATTACAATATAATATTATAATTAAAATTTTCTTACACTCAAAATAAAGCACCTTGTATTTCAGGAATACGTCACAGTCAAGGACTTGAATCATGTTGTAAAAGCAACATAATACTTTGTCAGTGAGATCATTTGATTCATAGATAAAATGAGTGATATAAAACTTCCAGAATGCCTGGAAATTCATTA
This sequence comes from Homo sapiens, assembly GCF_000001405.40. NCBI lineage: Eukaryota > Metazoa > Chordata > Mammalia > Primates > Hominidae > Homo > Homo sapiens. Next base: position 137,689,960 of record NC_000004.12, read on the forward strand.
GAAGGTTATGTGCAGATGGAAGTTAGGGAGTCCCAGGCAGCGCATAGCATGTGCAAAGGCACAGAGGCATAGTGTGTCCTGGAAACGTATGTGTTTGGTATGATAAGAACAAAGGATGGTTCAGCAGGAGAGCTGCAGTATGTACAAATGCAGTCATACTGTAGAGGGTCTTGTAGTTCAGAAAGGATGTTAATATTTATAATTTGGAATGGCATAATCACAGTTGTATTGTAGTTAATTTACTTTGGATACATTGTATAAGAACAGAGTTCACAATCAGCTGTGTAGATACGAAGAGGATCTGTAGAGAGGCCCTGGAAATCCTGGAAACTTGAAAAATTGAACACAAAATGTTGAATATGTATGTTTGTGCATCTTTCCTGGGAGACAGCCGATAACTTTTAGCTGATTATCAAAGCATTCCATAGAATCATAATGTTAGAAGATGTTATGTATACCACTTAGGAAATTTATTAGTGTCCCAGGGTTTCTGTAAGACAAAGTACCACAAACTGAGTGGCTTAAAAGAACAGAAATTTATTCTCTGTCATTAGTGAAGGCTAGAATCAAGGTTTCAGGAGAAATATGTTCCTTCCAAATCTTCCAGGGAAAATCCTGCCTTGACTCTTCCATCTCCCGGTAGCTCCAAGCACTCCTTGACTTGTGACCGCATAAGTCCAAATTCTGCGTGTCTTCGTATGACCTTCTTCTCTCTGTTGGCTGTGTGTGTACCCTCTCTTTTTATAAGGACGTCAGTCCTTGAACTTAGTGTACATAATCATCTACAATAATAATACAGTGACTTCATTTTGAGATCCCTAACTAATTTCATCTGCACACCCGATTTCCAAATAAGGTCACATTCTGAGGTTCCAGGTGGGCATGATTTTTTAGGGGACACTATTCAACACCCTGCAAGAAACTATTATTTTAGTCCAGGAGAGATACGACAAAGAAGGAGTGCACAAATGAAAGAGAGAGTATTCAGAACATCATTTTTTGGTGTATGATTGGATTTAATAATTAGAGTTAGGAAATAATTAAAGATGGATCCAAGGTCTCTACTTTGGGAGAGGGAGAGATTGTTATCTCATTAGCTGAGATAGGAAATAAAGATGTAGGTTTGAGAGTACATCTGTGTAGTGGGTTTGATTTGGACATATTAACATGAATAGGCCTTTCTGCTCTCTTAGGGAGAGATGTCTCAGAAGCCATAAGAAATAAACTTTAATCTCAGCCTGTGTTGAAAGAGAAGTTTTGATGGAAGAACAAAATTAAAGAGATAGAAAGGGGATTATATTCAGAAAGAGGAATACTCACATGTGAGAATCTTTGAAAATGAAATAGCTCTGAATGTTCAGTTGTTTCACTGAAGATTTCAAGGAGGAAATCCACACAGCAGAAGAATCAAAATTCAATGGGAAGAGAAAAACATGACAGAAAATTGTGACAACATTTCCAGAAGCATAAGTGGAAAGAAAGAGAAAGGTAGTTAGAGGAGACTACAGGATCAAGTCAGGGGTTTGACTTTTGAGGTAAAGAAATATGTTTATGTTCCAAAGGAAAGAAATCACTGAAAAGGAAAGGATTAAAGAGAAATAGGAAGACAAAAATTTGGTGGGCAAGACATAGGAGGATAAATAGGGAAGGAATTTTTAGCACATGACGTTTTAGCCACAGTTACACCTCCCTGATGGGCAGAGTTGGTTGTATGCAAAGTCCAGGGGCAGAAGCAGGGAAGAGAAGGTCATCCTCAATATCATAATTTATCTGGGGAGAAGTAGGGCATATCACTTGCTGATGTTGAGGTTGCTAATGGCTTGAGGAGTGTGATGACAGTTTAGAACAGCCCCTGGATTGCAAAGAACATGAACAGAAACTAGAGGGTTGTTGCTGAACTTTGGATTATACTTATGGTAACCTCATCACTGAGAACTTCCCAGATTGCTGCTTTTCTTACTATACTTCTGGAGTGTGCTGAAAGCCTCTTTGAGGTTATTTACCTCTGAGTTTGTAGATGACATTGCCTTTAGTGCTTGTCTATAAATACCAAAGAAAAGTCAGTTTTGTTGTTCATTATTTTCTAAAAGGCTTTTGGAAATTTATTCAAGATACCATCTTCCACAAAACCTAAAGATTATATTTATGTCCTTGCTGACATCAAGCAATTTATGAAGCTAAATAGAAAGATCAGTCTTAGAAACAGGGTCATAATATTTCCCTGAAGCTGTCACCCAAGTAAAGCCAAACATGTTAGAGAACTCATTATAAGGAAACTTACCATACACCAGGCCTTGAAAATGAACTCTGAAAACTTGCCAACTACTTTTGAGATTAAAACAATTTCTGAGCAGCATTTGGTCCTAACTTTAATCTGTAATAAGAGAAGAAAGTGGAATTTAATTCATTTTACTACTTTTCAAAGTAAACTACCAGATCAAATAACTGGTTGATGATTTAGGGAAAAGGCACTGGAGCCAGATGCCTGTGTTTGAACTTGCCCTTTACTAACTTTATGACCTCATATAAATTGCTTTATCTTTCTGTGCTTCAGTTTCATGGTCTGTAAAATGAAGATGAGAATAGAAAGTATCTTATGCCTTGTTATAAAATTAAATGAATTAATATTTGTAAGCACATAGCACCTAAAATAGTATTATATGAGTATTTGCGAAATGTGTTTATTTTAATACACAAAGGTGACTGGCTGATGTTGGGGCTGCTAATGCCTTGAGGAGTGCTCCCCAAAGAGCACTTACACTTGAGTGCTCTTAAGTGCTCTTACACTTAACATAAAGGTGTATTAAAGGTTTAGCACACCTTTAATACAACAGTGTATTAAAATAAAAGAGCTTATTATAAAAAACGGTTTAATTTGGCATATTCTACTGAACACCAATTCCATATAATCCCTACTCTGGAAGCTTTAAAGATAACTCAGATTTCACAGGAGATAAAAATAAGTTTACACACATGTACATGTGTACACACACACATGCACACAGAGGCACGCACTCTGTAATTTTATTAGTGTTAGACAGTTGATGATAAAAAGTATTTTTTAAGACCACTAGGGTATGATTTAACCCTGTCACAAAATAGGACAGATAAGGTTAGCAAATTATTTTTTCATAAATATATAGGTGAGCCTCTTGACATTTATAAGGAATGCATTCTTATGTTTTTTCTTCCTCCCAAAGGCAATTATCAAATAAATAATTATAATGTAAATATTGGAAAATAGGTTAAGTGTGTACTATTCAAATTCTTCCAATTCCTTCTTAGATAGGTTACATACACTACATCTATAACCAATAAATCAACTTTTAATTTTATTTAATCAATAAAACAACATATGCTTCTATGGTAGAATATCCTCGTTACATATTATAAAATTTCATGAACTGTTAAGTCATTTGTAAAACTGTGAATATTAAAATGAAATATGCCCAAACCAACTTTTTGTGTATAAATTATAGTTTGTATATATATATATACCCTTTTTTATATATAAACATAGAGAATTATACATGTCTTTACATATGTATACTAAAAGTCCATGTGCAATCTGAAATATTCTCCAACATTTTCGTTGATTTCATGAAATTTTATATTTCTTTTCAAATTGGCATATTTCACTTAGCTATCTATTTGCATTATTTTCCACTGCATTTTCAGCAGTGTAAAACAGTTTGCAATTATCAATGTATAGCTCTACAAATATATTAAGACCATTTGGGGGCTAATTTTATAAATAGGTAACTAATTAGTGAATAAGTTTGTCTTATGAGTACCTATGCTTCTTTTTGTAGCCTCATAATTTTGGAAATTCAGATATTCAACTCTTGCTAGTTTAATCTGTCTTGGAGTTTCTGTGAGTGAGTCACTGGACCAAAAGCTGACCTAAAGAGATGCAATATTGTGTAGGAAAGCATATTCATTAAAGATATATGAATAGCACAATATTTAACATTAGTGCCTAATTCTAAAGGAACCCAGGTTTTACAACTTTATATGCTGAAGCATCGATACAATTTAATAGTATATATTATCTCATAGTGCTTTGTAATTGATTTATGATTCTTTCATACTTAAGAGATATTCTAAAATAAATTCTCTGAAGTCCCTAAGAAGAGATATTAGTGAGATGTTCCTACCATAGACTGCCAACTCATTCCGTTATCTACCTAGACTTCTTCTACCTTCTGACTTTTAAAGTATAACTCAAATTCCACATCATCCACTGCTATTCACACTAATCTATTCCTCTTCTGAATTTCCACAGCAATACCCTATTTCCAGCAGGATTTTTTTTCAAGTATTCACACACTGCTCTGTGCTCTTATTTGGAAATGTCATGTACTTAAAATTTGTTTCACCAGTTCAAGTGCAAGCACATTGGCATGCTTTGTGTTTCTCTTGGCTGGGCCACAGTGCTTTTTTCATGTAGCATGAAACAACAAACACTTGGAGAATAAAAATTAATACAACTTAATCTCATCAAATTCAGCATCTATGTCTAATACTTTTTTCTGTCTTCCATATGATCTAAAGTAGCTGAGAAGCCGCAGTATTGTTTTCAAAAATACGTACATGGTGGCTATCATCCAATTGATAGTTCTATAAAATATCTGTTAAGAAATTTGACTGGTTTTACAAAATGTAGCACAGCATAGGAAAAACAAATTATTAATTTCAAAGTCATGGTAAAATTCTCTTTACTGATCATAGGTGATATGTATTTATAAAGAAAGATATGCATTCGTAGGGAAAGATAGCTGTCATGTGGAAGAATAAACATGAAGTTTACAGTCTGATTGGAGTTTTATTACTGTCCCTGTCTCTCAATAACTGCGTGACTTAACAAGTTTTTTAAACATTTTTGAGCCTCATTTTTTATGTATGTTAATAACATTTGTTCTACAGAGTTTTGTTTTAAATAATAGATGCAACAACAATGACAAAGTACTTTTAAGCTATATAAAGTTAGGATTTTCAGAATTATTTTGATATCAAAATGTTACTGTGACACAATTCAAATTTCAGATTAAGAAAATTAATAACTGTCTCACCTGAATTATATGGAACAATACACAAGTATTCTATATACACACAAGATAGAAAGCTAAGAATAAGAAGTAAACAAAAACCATCTTGTATTTATAGAATACTTTCTTTAAAACAACCTATAACTCAGCCAGAATTTACTGGTTACAAGGCATATAGTTATCTATAAATACAAAGAAGCCCTCAAGGAAGGAAATACTGAATCATATTTTTATGCTGCTACTCATGCATTTTTATTAAGAATTTCAAAACCAACACTTGAAATGAAACTGAGACATTGTAAAACATCGGTTTTACAACTCTCCATTTCTGCCTACTCCAAGTCCAAGAAACGTTTGATAAATTTTGAAGATACTATATCCTGAGTTATTTCTAATTGCTCATTTACTCATTTATGCATTCATCCAATCAGTATTGATGTAATCAGTATTTTTTTCTCAGACATGCTGATAGATTGTAGGTGTATGGTTGTAAACTGCACACACATGTTCTCTGCCTTCATGGAGTTTATAGCTTAGTGGGGAATTAAAAATATATGTAGGTTAGCAATTTAACATACATATGAGTTCGTTCTATGCTAAGTAAAAAGGGGGATAAAATAGTGCCGATTTTGAGATCAGCATTATAGAATCTACTTTAGAAGAGTAGTGTAAAAGTCTTCAACTAACTGACTTCTAAGTTGAGTCATGAAGGATAAGAAGTCAATTTTACGAAGAGCAGAGAAAAGAGTCTCTGCAAAGGCTGTGGGGAAGAGCATGTTTTGATGCACTTGAACAGCATCAAGAACTTGAAGAAGCTGTCGCCGCTGGAGCTGAGAAAGCAGCAGAGGTGGGCACATGAGTGGATGGTGAATAGGAAGTCAGGACTGAAACCAAACAAGTCCTTGGGAACCACGACAAGAATTTTCATTTTATTTGCATTACAAAAGCTATTGAAGACTCTTAAACAGACGGCAAATTAATAGATTTATGCCTTTTAAAACAGGATTTTTTTTTAAGCTGAAAGAGAGTAAAAGGAGAAGCAGGGAAGTAATAAAAAACACACCTCAGTGCGCCACTGCACTCCAGCCTGGGGGACACAGAGCAAGACTCCGTCTCAAAAAAAAAAAAAAAAAAAATGCATACCTCAGGAGCCTGCGTTGTCTAGGTGACAGGTGATACTGGCATGGACTAATGGGGTAACAGAAAGTAACAGCATCTGTCTTTAATGTATTTTCCTTTAAAAAGTGGAACTGTCAGTGAAAGAAATTGAACTGGGGGTTCACTTAAAATCCTTGGTTTATTTTAGGGAAAGGGGAAAAAAGAGATTTTTATTAACTTCACTGCTACCAGCACAAATATATTCATAGAAAATATATCTCTGGTCTGCCTTGTTCTAAAAAACCTTATCTTAGAAACATTCTATTATTTCAAGGAAGTTATGCTCTAAAGATTGTCAAACATTATTTTTACACATGTATTTAACATTTTCTACGTTCCACACACAACGATTGATATTTTTTGTATATATTTATCTAATTTCCATAACAATACTATCTCCTTTTTTGAGGTAAAGAATGAGAAAAAAATAAGAAACATGTCTAAGGTCCAAGGTGATACCACTCACTAAATTGAGAACTTAAGGCCGGGTGCGGTGGCTCATGCCTGTAATCCCAGCACTTTGGGAGGCCGAGGCGGGCGGATCACGAGGTCAGGTGATGGAGACCAACCTGGCTAACACACGGTGAAATCCCGTCTCTACTAAAAATACAAAAAATTAGCCGGGCGTGGTGGCAGGCACCTGTAGTCCCAACTATTCGGAGGCTGAGGCAGGAGAATGGCGTGAACCTGGGAGGCGGAGCTTGCAGTGAGCCGAGATGTCGCCACTGTAACCTGGGTGACAGAGCGAGACTCCGTCTCAAATAAATAGATTAATTAATTAATTAATTAATTCAGAACTTAAACCTGCTCTTGCCTCTGCTTGACTCCAGACCTCATGGTCTCTGTCCCAATTCACCAGTTGTTTTCTTCCTTCCTTCCTTTCTCCCCTTTTTTCTTCTTTCCTTCCTTCCATCATTTTTTCCTGTCCCAATTTACCAATTCTTTCTTTGTTTCTTTCAAAAAAAAGTATTGATTTATTCGTATTTTACTTTTTTACATTAGTTATTTATATTATTCTATTTTTAAACATTTTTTTCTATGTTCCACAAAGAATTTCTTAATTTTATTCTATTACTCTGAACTCCAAGACATAGAAGGGAAGTATTAACTCTTAATTTACCTTAGTTCATTTTCCATTACTATAACAGAATACCTGAGACTGGACAATTTCTTTATTTTCTTACTTTTACTTTTATTTTTATTCTTTGAGCTGGAGGCTCGCTCTGTTGCCCAAGCTGGAGTGCAGTGGCATGATCTTGGCTCACTGAAGCCTCCACCTCCCAGGTTCAAGCGATTCTCCTGCCTCAGCCTCCTGAGTAGCTGGGATTACAGGCATGCACCACCATCCCTGGCTAATTTTTTTTGTATTTTTAGTAGAGACAGGGTTTCACCATGTTAGCCAGGCTGGTCTCAAACTCCTGACCTCAGGTGATCCGCCCACCTCAGCCTCCCAAAGTGCTGGAATTACAGGCGTGAGCCACCATGCCCGGCCAAGACTGGGCAATTTATAAAGAAAGGTACTTATTTGGCTCTTGGTGCTGGAGTCTGGGCAGTGCCGGATCACGTGGCTGCATCTGGTTGGCTTCTGGTGAGGGCCTTGTGCTGTGTTATAACATGGTGGAAGATGTCACAGGTCAAGAGGGTCAAGCCTGCTACTCAGAGCTGTCTCCTCTTAGAAAGCCACTATTGCCTCTCACTCCTATGACTGCTTTTAATCCTAATCATCTCCAAAAGGTGCCACCTTTCAAATACTATAGTCAGATTTCTCACCTTCTTTCTATCTTTACAATAGGGATTAGGTTTCAACATGAATTTTGGAGGAGACATTCAAATCATAACATAATTTATCCTGAAATAATTCTAAATTGGTACGTTCATCCCAAAACTCCAAGTCTGTGCAGAAGCAGACCTGCTGTGCCCCAGCATGATGATAGAAACTTGGATGAATTTACTAGTTGTGAGTAGGACATATTGTCAAATATCTCTCTGTCTCCTTGTCAATATGCTCCTTGTCAAATATTCCTCTGTCTCCCCTACAACTATTTCATGACCTCCATTAAAATCTCTTATTACTCTGATCCTTTTAAGATAAGCATGTCATCAGAACTGGTTAGTATGAAAATAAATGGGTAGATACAGAGTTAAGCAGTGTGAAAACCATACAAACCCATGCTAATACAATGAGAAATCATCGAAGAGAGTGGTTATAGTACCAGCTAATTTTATGGAAAGAAACATCTTTGAGCAGCCTAAATCATGGCTTCTCAACTTTGCCACTACTAACATTTTGGGTCGATGATTCTTTGTTGTGGAAGGTGGTCCAGTGCATTGTAAAATGTTTAGAAGAATCCCTAAGCACTATCTACTTGATGTCAGTAGCAACACACCTATTCTCCATCCTGTTATGACAACCAATAATATTTTAGGACATTGCCTAATTTCCTGTGGGGAGGGGAGCAAAATTAACCCTGGTTGAAAACCACCGGTCTAGAGCATAGAATTCTAGTCAGAGAACACATTCCAGCTGCAAAAAAATACATAGTATTCCTAGGATGTTCTCAAAATGCTAGTACTAGCTGGTAATACAGAAGTGCCCAAGAGTTTCACAAAGCATAAGGGAAGGTGAGTGGATAATGATCAAATGAAGGTTCTATGTTATGTTATTGGGGGAAAAAATAAAGAAGAAGAGTAAGAAGAAGGAGAAGGAGGAGGAGGAGGTAGAGGAGGAGAAGGAGAAGGAGGAGAAAGAGGAGGAAAAACAAAACTCTGGAGTTTGAGCTGCTTCAAATATGGCAGAGCTGGCCAGGAGTGGTGGCTTACGCCTGTGATCCAGGCACTTTGGGAGGCTGAGGTGGCAGATCACCTGAGTTCAGGAGTTTGAGACCAGCCTGGGCAACAAGGCAAAACCACATCTCTACAAAAAATAAAATTAAAAAATTAGCCCGTCGTGGTAGTGTGTGCCTGTGAACCTAGCTACTTGGGAGGCTGAGGTCAGAGGATCACTTGAGCCTGGAAGAGGAGGTTGCAGTGAGCCAAGATAGCAACATTGCACTCTAGCCTGAGTGACAGAGACCCTGTTTCAAAAAAAAAAAAAAGATGGCAGAGTCTAGGTGGTTGCTTTCCAGGTAGATAGGCAGGAGCAGTGATGGGAATGAGAGAGAGATTCCAGACAGAAAATAAATACTCTGGAGAAAGGCATGGATTATGAAGATGCTTTTTTTTTTTAAATGAACATTGTTTGCAGAGTAGGAAAGAAGTTTCCTGACTCAATATAAAAAGACTTCTGTGCCTAGGAGTTTATGCCATATTCTAGAGGTAACAGAAAATCATCAAAACATTGCAAGAGGAGATTTACTTATAAAAACGGATAGATGTGTAGGTGGGTAAGAAAGTTTAACAATTTTATATCTGTGTCAGCAAAGCCATAGTCTGTAGGGGAAATCTAGCTCCCTGCCTCATTTTATGAATAAAGTTTTATTGGAATACAGCACACTTATTTATGCTACAATGGCAGAGTTAAGTAGTTGTAACAGAGACTGTATATAGTTTGCAGAATATAAAATATTGTATATCTGTCCCTTTATTTAAAAAGCTGTCCAATTTTTTAAGTGTAGAAAGTTACCTGTTAAATTTAAATTAAATATTTAATTTAAAAAGTTGCCCATTGCGTTTTGATGTTCCTACCCACCTTCTGCCTGCCCCAATTCATATGTTGAAGCTCCAGTATGACAGTATTTGGCCATACAGCATATAAGGAGAAAATTTAGGTAACAGAGGGTCAAAACAATGGATCCCTAATTCAATAGGACTGGTGTCCTTGAAGAAGAGGAAGAGACACAAGGGAGCTAGTGCTCTCTCTCCTTCCTCCTTGCTCTCTTTCTCTTGCTTTTTCTCTTTGTGTACATACAGAGGAAAGATCATATGAGGACACAGCCAGAAAACAGCTATCTACAACCCAAACAAAAGGCCTTCTCAAAAACTGATTCTGCAGGCAACTTGATCTTGAACTTTCAGCCTCTGGAACTGACAAATTATACTTCTGTTGTTTAAGTCACTCAGTGTGTGGTATTTTGTCACACAGCCAGAGTAGACTAATATGACAATCCTTGGCCTAGATCATTTATTTATTCAAGAACATTATGCACAGTAATTTTACAGAGCATTAGAATTACTAATATGTGAAAACCACGGTTTCTACCCTATCAAAGCTCATAGCCTAGTAGAGGGAGACAGATGTGTATTTGGCTGACAGTCTACATGGGCAGTTTTCAAACAATTTTAATGTGCAGAGTCACTTGATTCTTTTTTTTTTTTTTACTACCTAAGATAATAAAAGGAAAAAACTGTTCTCATCTGCTTGGAGATTTTGATAGTGACAGGAGACAGACAAATTCCTAGGCAGACAGAGATGGGTCCCTAGTGAAACCCCACCTTCAAGCTAATGACAGTCTAAAGGCTGAAAGCCGAGCTACCAGTTCCAGTTAAAGTCCACGACCAGAGTGAGAACTTCCATCCTTGTCTTACCCACTCTTTCTCAATTGCTTCTTTCTGAATGATGTCGTTTAACCAATTAAATGGTGCTTTTTCCAAGACCACCCATGGACCAATCAGCATGCATTCCCCCATTATAAGCCCATAAAAACCCCACACTCACCCTCACAGATGGCGACCTGCTTTCAGGTCCCCTCTCGCTGATGAATAAAATTCTACTCTGCCTTACTCATTCTCCGGTGTCCATGTTCCTCATTCCTCTTGGTCATGGGACAGGAACTCAGAATTTGCTGAACTGTGGGAGCAAAAGAGCTGTAATGCTCCTACTCACCAAGCTGTGGGTGGCAGAAATAAAAGAGCTGTGACACTTCCTCCCACTTGCCAAACAACGGGAGTGAAGAAGCAACTGGGTGCAACTCCCTCCTGCTTGCTGAACAATGGGAGAGAAGTTGCTGCTGCTTATTGAACTACAGGAATGAAAAAGCCACAACACTTTTACCATTTGACCCTCTCTTGCTTTAAAAAACAGATAAACAGAATTTTTGTGCAAAATGGCTTGAAGATGCAAGAAAAGTGCTTACAACAACCAGAAACAGATCTCCCAGGCTAGGGATGGGCTGGAACAATATGTCTTGTTCTAGGACCCAAGCAACCTGGGGCCTCTTCCCTGGCAGCAACTCAAGTAGAGCCTTCTGTGTCTGGGCATGCATTGTCAACAGGGGTGATATCACTCCAGGGGACAAAAATTGGTTCATGAGTGGTGAGAAAAATCTTAGGTATTACAATAGTCCATAATCTCTTGAAGGGCCACAATAACATATTAACAGGTAGACAACATAGCTGTATAGAGGGACAAAAGGTTGAGAAATGCTGGTCTAGAGAAATTGACCAATTCTGGGAAACCCAGAGGGAATCCTACTCTGTATAATCCTAGCACAGAAGCAGCAGAGTGGTCACACCAATAGACCATGTGGACACTGAAAAAGGATTTTACCAAGAAACTAAAATGACAGATGACTAACAAGTCTTACCGTACCTTAGCACCACATTACAGTCCTCCAGAAACTTGGCAACAATCTTGTGACAGAAAAGTCTTCAAGAATAATGAAGGTTGAATTCCCCACCAGAGGGGTTCAGATGTATATTCCCACAGAGGGAGGGGTCAAGTTGAAAATGTGGGAAATAGATTGACATCAGTTTCTTGCACTGAGTTTGTAGAAAGAGATTCAGACCTGCTGCTATGGAAACAATAATATGGAATACAGGGTAAATAGACATACTTAAAGAATGAAGAAGAAGGTGCTAAGAAAATAGAGACATAATAGTTCATTCTGCCTAAGATGGGAAATAGAGGAGAGTAACCTATTATAAGAAAAAGATCAATAGATGAGATTCCAGTAAAAGAATGATGAGACCTTGACTGAAAACAATGGCAGGGGAGGTGAAGAGGACATTGGAGATGGAAGAGATATTTAGAAGGATAACTGATGGGATTAGGCTACTAATTGAATCCCAGTTGAAAGGGTCAGAGTGAATGAGATATTGAAGATAATTCCTGTAAAGAATGTACAAAGAAGAAGAGATCACAGGAGAAAAAAATTGCCCATCTCCTTAGGAAAAGCGCAGATTTTTAAATGTTTTGTTAGAGTAAATTCTAGCAAGGATTGTTTAATCTTAGAGCAAAGCCTGTAAATTCATGGCCATTAAGCTAAGTGTGGCCTTAAGAGGGCTTTGTTTGCAGTTTTGTATTGGCAACACTTTTAAAAATAACAGGATTCTTTAAAAAATAGAAAAAATAATTTTGTGTTTGTGAATGTTTAAAAATCATACAATGTAATGTCTCATAATAATCCAGATTTCTGAATCCCCAGGCTTACATTTCCATCTAACTACAAGAAAAACTCAGCTGAAGATGACTACTGGAAGCTTCCTTTACATGGGCATACGGTTTTCAGTTAACCATAATCCTCCCCACTCCCTGGAGTATTTCCCCTCTGCTTTCTTCATTGCCTGACTAGCTCTACAGGACTCCAACAAACCCATCACCATAGAAATTAAACTTCAGAAGACATCATGAGAACAAAATACGTCTCCAAACCAGAGAATAAAGGATGTTGCAATATGCAAATGGAAATTTGACTGAAGTCCTTCTTTTGCATGTCACTGCATACAAGCAATGTTTCAAGAAAAGAACAAGATTAGCTGGGAAAGATTCACAAAAAAATAAAAATAAATAAGCATGAAAGAAAATATGCATTCATAATAGAAGCAATAAATACTATTGTAGAGAGAAAACATTAAGTAGACTTTCTAATTCTGATTAAGTAGGTTTTCTAGTTCTGGAGTTAGAACATAAATTTTCAAATAATTATTAGTAATTATTATCAGTTATGCCTATCTCTCCCCAAGACAATTTGCAATTACCAAATTATCATATAATTTACTTCATCAGAAGTGTTGCCATTTCCGCCCATCCATTTTTGCAACATTTATATTTATTTAAAAACTGTTCTCCTCTTGAGCTGATTTTCTCCAGTACTGGAAAGAAAAAGTACTAAAAAGCAAGTTCATTTTATCATGGAAAGTTCACTCTGGTGACATTATTCTCCAATTTCTAAAAATCCTAAACCATTTTGCACCCAGCTTGAACCAACAGCTGTAGCTTTTCTGCTCTCAGTCCCTAATTTGTTTGCATTTGGCTTATATTTCTAGCTCTTTGGAGTGCTGATAATTATACTTGTCTGGGAGGCTTAGAAGCTGTAAAAAATCTGGACCTTCTCACTTTTCAGCACAAGCAGACAAGGCTCAGGCTCCAATTTGGAACTGCATGACTTAAATGGAGCATGTGAGCCCAGAGACATCAACAGCAACCTGGCAGCTTGAAGACTGTTCTCCAAAGCCACTCACCATATGTTGGCTACAAATTGAAGACCAAACAGGCCACAGTGGTACATAGGATTCAAATGGACCTCTGTTAACATATGTGTTTGGCATGCGGCAGGTGAAATGTTAATAGAACCTGATAATCTCAGTCACATTGTTACTGGGATATTCTTCCCAATCTAGAGACATCGTGACAGTCTGACTAATTTAAATATCATAAAATATAGTGATTATATAGTATTTTGAGAGGAAAGTAAGAGTAATAAAATCTGAAAATGAGTCAGTTTTGTTTTGTTTTGTTTTTGAGACGGAGTCTCGCGCTCTGTCGACCCAGGCTGGAGCGCAGTGGCTCTATCTCGGCTCACTGCAAGCTCCACCTCCCGTGTTCACGCCATTCTCCTGCCTCAGCCTCCAGAGTAGCAGGCACTACAGGCGCCCGCCACCGGCTAATTTTTTTATGTTTTTAGTAGAGACGGGGTTTCACCATGTTAGCAAGGATGATCTCGATCTCCTGACCTCGTGATCCACCTGCCTTAGCCTCCCAAAGTGCTGGGATTACAGGTGTGAGCCACCGCTCCTGGCCAAAATGAAGTCAGTTTTTAAGACATGTGGACAAGAAACAATGTTAGATATGTTTAAATAATGGTGCATATATTTATTTGCAAAATTATTAAAGGCATATAAAAATATTCAGATATATCAGGAAAATATTATTATTTATCACTTACTGATAGCTAATAATACATTTCATGTTAGGGCTGAGCACTTAGAGAAATTTAAAATCTATTTCTTTCTAGATTTGTGATTTAAATTAAAAACCTGAAATGTGTTTTAAGTTCATGTTCAAACATTAAGAACTTTAAATTGGTGCTACAATCTGAATGTTTGTGTCCCCTCAAAATTCATATATCAAAATCTAATCATCAGTATACTGATCATCAGTGTATTAGCAGGTAGGGCCATTCAGAGATGATTTTTTTCACTTTTACATTTTATAATGGATTAGTGGCCTTATAAAAGACACCAGAGAACTAGCTTGCTTCTTCTACCATGTGAGGAAACATCTAGAAGGTGCCATCTATGAAGCAGGAAGCAGGCCTTTACTGACATCAAATCTGCTAGTACTTTGATGTTGGACTTTCCAGCCTCCAGAACTATGACGAGTAAATCTCTGTTGCTTATAAGCTATTTTCAGTTTACGGTATTTTGTTATACCAGCCTGAATGGACTAAGGCAGCTGGCAATCCATTTGTTGGGATTTGGAAGTGTGTTAAAAAGCACTTAAATTTGGTTTCTTCTGTTTCACACTGACTTAGTCTGCACTGAGTGAAACATAGCTCTAGGCAGTAAGTCCATTATCAATATTAAGGTTATTTCTTTTCAGTTTTTGGAGAAGAAGCAGTCATATTGTTGGCAAACTCACTTATGTTAAACAGTTGTCCTTATTTAAAAATAAATTAAAACCATTAAAAAAATCAGCGAAGAATTTGAGACTTTAAAAAAAAGAAAAACAGAAATTTCTTTTGACTTGCTTAGATTTAAGATTGACTGCCTAAACAAGAAGAGAACATTTCATTATTTCTCCATATTTTCCAACCTCTCTGTTAATAAAACTATGACCTTATACTTCTGAGATGGTAACTACTTCAGAACTATTAATTGCTTTTTTAAGTTTTTTTCTTTCCAAAGACTGCAAAAATAACCTACCTAAGAGCTGTTAATTATCATTAAACAGTGAACACAGACATTTTTAGAGGGTTTCTCAAAGTTGTGTCATGATTCCCAAGAACAAGAGGAGTTAGAGTTACATCAAGCATGAAACATGTGTTTTGAAAAGTGACTTGATTCACAGGGCTAGAACTTTGCATGGGAGCTGAAAAGACACTTTGTTTAGTTTTAGCAATAAATGAGATAAAGTTCCTGGTTTTGATATGTGGCTGCCTTGGAAAATAACATTTGGAGAATGTATATGAATCTGTAAAAACAAACACATACTATAGAGATCTTTTCAGCATGACTGGAACTGACAAAAATCCAGATGTTCTCTTTTTATGTTGTTGGATCACCACCAAAGAGCAAAAAATAGCACTGATCTCTGCTGACCGGTATCATTTGAAGAGGAAGTACTAGCCCTACGACAGCAGGAATTACTCAACATTCTTCAACAGAGGCCTGGAGATCCTCAAAATTTAACACATTCATGTGCACATATGAGTCCCGGTTACACTTGCAGTAATAAAAGTATTTGCTTAACTGCATAAATTATCAAGGTTGGCCACCATCTACCATCTATACGAACTCAAAGTAGCTAAATTATCAATTTTATTGAAGCTTCAGTTTTTATAACAAATCCTGAATAGGTAAGGCCTTTTATTCTTCTAAAAAAAAAAAAAACAAAAAACAGACTGTAAGATAAGTATATTTAAAAAGCCAAATACTTGCCCATCAGTAGCATGACAAACTGCCAATATGTAAGTTTGAACACAAATTTTAACCTTGCCATTCTCCACCCTCTTTTGCTGTGCCTCCTCCAAAGGCCATAGCTGGACAAACCTACCCTTCTATGGAGGCATAATTTCCTCTCTCTTTTCATTTTCCATTTTTTTAAAAGTAGAATTAAATAAAGTCTTAATTTAAAAAATAAAATATAGTAATAGTTGTAATAATTGAGAAACACTGTAAAACCAAAAGGATGTTTCATACCCAATAATTAGGTGTGTGTATCTGTGTGTGTGTGTGTGTGTGCATGCGTGTATTGGACATACACAATTTTCTGAAGTCTACTGAGGCAAATGCAGAGCAAGTGTGGGGTGTGTAGTCGGGGTGGAGGAGACTCAGGGGACCAGAAAAATATAAAGGGTGGGAAAAAAGAAACAATATGAAAGCTATGGGAAATCAACTACCTTTGCCTTCACAGAGAAATAAATAAGTCTATGGGAAGAGAAAGAGCAAAAAAAAAAAAAAAATGAAAACTATTCCCAAAGTAAAAATAAAACAACTGAGAATTAAAAGAATCAATAAAGGTTAAATCAGTGAGAAGGCAAATCTTTGAGAATTAAGAACACAAGCAATCAAAACAATAATTTCAAAGTCAGATGAAAAGTAAATCTTCATTATGCCTTATTTTGCCTTAAAATATAAAAATATGAAAAACAAAATTTTATAACAAAAAATTTAGATGTGTTAACTTTATCCATTTATTCCAAAAGATATATTAAGAGCATTCTGAAAAAAGATATGGGCTGATTTTATAATATTTCTTTAATTTTAAACTCATAGTTATCTACTCTATTATATATATTACATATATATAAAATTTAAAGTCATGTATAAAGAAATAAAACTGTTTAGAAAATAGAATACTGCTACAATTCCAATTAAGCTAACTTGTTACCTGGCCATTTATTGTAATAAGGAATATAGTTGTCTCAATAAACTAACTATTATTTAGTTTCCTTAATATCATTCCACTTCTGCACTGTGTAGAACATGGTTTTGGCTAAAGTCATATGATTTTAAAAAACCAACTTTTTAATAGTAAATTAAGATGACAACTCTAGGAAAGTGTGTGAAAAATTTTAAATATATCTTAAAGGTAATTTTATTTCTAGATACACCATAAATATAGTTTGAATACAAAAGAATAAATCAAACAATGCAACTCATCACAATCCATAAAGAGAATTTTTAATACATGGCAGTCCCTTTAGAGTTAATGAGTTGTCTGACTCTTAGGATGATGGCTTCCATCTGGATCAGCTCTTGGCAAGTTGATAGCCAGGCATTTAACTGGATCTTTAAAACTTGATTCTGTCAGCTAATGACAACAACAAAAAAAGATAGTATGCAATTATTTCAATCAATCAATCAACAAGGATTTTTGTGCACACATCATTTTGTCATTATTGTGCTAGATATAATGGAAGTTTGCAAAAATAAAGGATATGTATGACATATATCAGTCTTAAAAAGTATGTAAATTAGGCTTGAAGAGGTAAAAACAATACACATGAAATAATTAGCCAAGTTAACAGCATATTCTTAAAGAGTGATTTATAGAGATGGGTGAAGATGCTGTAGAATATTGGAGAAGATAAGATGAATAAATGTCAGAAAGATCAGAGGCACTTTCAGTGGTGCAAAATCTGGAAGGATACATAAGATTAAATGAGTAAAGGGGGAAGAAACTGTTTTCTCCTTAAATGAATGGATGGAACTGCATAAAATAAACATAGGAAACAAAGGGCAGTAAGTACAAATTTGGGCGGAGAATGTGAGATGAATCACCAGACCAATACAAATGGATGTGTCAGGGAGCAAAGCAAGGTACAAACTGACAACACGCAGAATGGATATAAAGAGACTTGAAAACAAAGCAGAATTTGAGTCTGGTGTCAAAAGTAACTGGGAGTCTGTGGTAATTTTTAATTGATATATAAGATTTTACATATTTATGGGGTATATGCTATAATTTGTTACTTCCATAGAATGTGTAATAATCAAATCAGGGTATTTGGGGTACCCATCACCTTTGGTATTTATTATTTCTATGTTGGAAACATTTCAAGTTCTCTCTTCTAGCTACTTTAAAATATACAATACATTGTTGCAAACTCTAATTTTCTTACACTGCCATCAAACATTAGAATTTATGCCTTCTAAATTACTGTACGTTTGTACCTATTGACCGCATCTCTTCATCCCCTCTCCCATCTACACACCCTTCCCAGCCCATGATAACTATTATTCTACACTCTACCTCTATGAGATCAATTTTTTTAGCTCCCACATATGAGTGAAAACATGCAAAATTCATCTTTCAGTGTCTGACTTATTTCACTTCACATGAACTCCGGTTCCATCCATGTTGCTGCAAAGGACATAATTATAATATTTTTATGGACAAATAGTATTCCACTGGGTATATATGAGAATGCAGGTATCACTTTGATATACCGATTTCTTTTCCTTTGGATAAATAGCCAGTAGTGAGATTGCTGGATTGTACAGTAGTTCTATTTTTAGTGTTTTGAAAAATCTCCATATTGTTTTTTTTCAAATTAGCTATACTAATTTAGATTCCCACCAACAGTGTATAAGAGTTCTCTTTTCTATTCATACTACCAGCATATTTTGTTTGTTGTCTTTTCAATAATAGCTGTTCTAATGAGATTAAGATGGTACCCTATTGTGGTTCTGATTTGCATTTCTCTGATGACTAGTGATGTTGAGCATTTTTCATATGCTTATTAACCATTTGTATGTCTTCTCTTAAAAATATCTATTCATATCCTTTGCCCACTTTTTAATGAGATTATTTGTGGTTTTTTTCTTTTACTTTTGAGTTGTTCCTTTTATATTCTGCATATGAATCCCCTGTTTGATGAATAGTTTTCAAATATTTTCTCCTATTCAACAGGTAATTTGCCTCTTCACTCTTAATTATTTCCTGTTGCAATTATTGCTGTGCAGGAGATTTTTTAGTTTAATATAGTCTTATTTCTCCATTTTTATTTTTGTTGTCTGTGTTTTTGATGTCTTAGCAATTAAGTCTTTGCCTAGACTGATGTCCAGAAGCATTTCCCCTTTGTTTTCTTGTAGTAATTTTATAGCTTTGGGTCTTATGTTCCAGTCTTTATTCCATCTTGATTTGACTTTTGTATGTGGTGATATGGGTCCAGTTTCATTCTTCTGCATATGGGTATTCAATTTTCCCAGTG